>NW_012132920.1:2141491-2365364 GCF_000001405.40 Homo sapiens | reverse complement strand
GAATTCACCCTTTTCACATTTCATTAGTTTGTTTTGGAAAAACTAGGAGGACATGAACTCATCCTTTTTTATGGTTGCATAGTATTCCATGGTATATATGTACCACATTTTCTTTATCCAGTCTATCATCAATGGGCATTTGGGTTGGTTCCAAGTCTTTGCTATCGTAAATAGTGCTGCAATAAACATACGTGTGCATGCATCTCTATAGCAGAATGATTTATAATCCTTTGGGTATATACCAGTAATGGGATTGCTGGGTCAAATGGCATTTATGGTTCTAGATCCTTGAGGAATCGCCACACTGTCTTCCACAATGGTTGAACTAATTTACATTCCCACCAACAGTGTAAAAGCATTCCTGTTTCTCTGCAGCCTCACCAGCATCTATTGTTTCTTGACTTTTTAATCGCCATTCTGACTGGTGGGAGATGGTATCTCATTGTGGTTTTGATTTGCATTTCTCTAATGATCAGTGATGTTGAACTTTTTTTCATGTTTGTTGGCCGCATAAATGTCTTGAGAAGTGTTTGTTCATCTCCTTTGCCCACTTTTTGATGGGGTTGTTTCTTGTAAATTTAAGTTCCTTATAGATTCTGGATACTAGGCCTTTGTCATATGGGTAGATTGCAAAAATTTTCTCCCATTCTGTAGGTTGCCTGTTCACTCTGATGCTAGTTTCTTTTGTTGTGCAGAAGCTGTTTAGTTTAATTAGATTAAGCAATACTTTTTTCTACATACATACAACTTTTATTATTTTAGTAAGAATACTTAGCATGAATTCTACCCTCTTTAACAAATTCTTAAGTGTGCAATACAGTCTTATTAACGATAGGCACAATAAAATGTTGTGTTTTTAAGTGATCTGAATGTAGTGAGAGAGCTTTGTGCTTGAAGTCAGAAGACCTAGGTTTGAACACTGGGTTCACCACTTAACCTTTCTATGTGATTTTGCAAAGGATTTTAAGTTCTTGGGGCCTTTTTTTTTTTCTTGTCTGTAAAATGGGAATAGTAATATCTAGTACACAGTGTCATTATGAAGATGAAATTAGATAACATACATGGGAAACCACCATATAAACTATAAAGCTTTAATAAATACAATGTGTTACATTTAAGGCATTCTTATTGTCCCACTTTGACCCTCTGTGAGAAACACCAATATACTGAAAATTTCCTTCCTGAATTGTTAGTTCTGGTGTGTGTGTTGGGGGGTGATTGGGGAGCATGCTATACTTGACTTCAACAGGTGCATAGCACTTCATTTAATTTTGCAGCAATCCTTTGAAACTGATTTTTTTCATTCCTAACTTTCCAGATAAGAAAACTGAGTCTGAGGGTCTTGGTAACTTACTCAGGGTCAGGGTGAGCTCAATCCCAGCGTTGTTACTGTGCCATCCTACTAACTTAGAGAACCACTTGGTTTCTTTTGAGTCCCAGGACCCTAGGGGTAAATAGAAATAAGCATATTTGTTTCATCATCTAAAGGAGAAAAGTATCAGAATAGTAGATTTGCCTTAACCTTGGGTAACAGCTTAACCTCAAAGATTCCTTTTCTGAGGTCTTAATAGAGGTCCTCTTTTACCTTTCCCAACAATAACAACAAAGTTTCCATTGTAATTAGTAAAGAATTGCAGTGACAAGTATTTAAGTATTTTATGGAATCAGTATTGAGCTCTGCATCTTGCATAATGGTTGTTCTCATGATAAATTGCCTCACGTAATTATTGGCCTAGCCACCACTTTCTCTTTGGATTCTTGACAACTATGGCAAGGTTTTCATCAGTGATTGATCAAAGATGCTATCACAAGACTTCTCTTTGATTTATACAGTTATTGTCTTCTTCATAATGAAAGAGCTTAACACCTGTATTGCCTTCTGGGAGTTATTGTGCATAATACATGTTATATAATACATAGTTTCGCAGACAATGTCCAATTCTGGAAAGATCTTTTCATTCCTTCAAATAATACGGGTATGTTTCTTCTGCTGAGTTCATTTGGCCTTAAATGAGTTGTGGCAGCTCTAGTAGGAACGCAGGACTAATGTATGTGGAGCAGTTAGCTCAGAACCTGGCACTATGTATATCAGCCGCTGCTGTTGTTACGTGATTTTGTCAAATCTTATCAGATGCTTCAGACAGTGGGTCTCAGAAAGTTAATCACAGAAATTTTACTTACCCAATGGTGCGAATAGCAGTGGTTCCAAGTTCAAGTGGCAAATAATTATTTACTACAGAGGACGGCCATAATTTTAGAAGGAAAGTTATGTGCATCTTTTTCATCTCTTCTAAAAATAAGCCAGAAGCAATGAATATAAGCTGGATTTCTGTTAAGACCAGACACTTTATTTTTGTTATATGTATAATTTGAAGATAGTCATGTGTATAATTAGAATAAAAGGTAAGTAGAATTAGCATAAGTTTAAAAGGTACCAGATATGCATGGAACTTTTATAAGGGATTATATTTTTCACAATTAAAATATTTTACATATTTTAAAGTATAATTATTTCTATAATTACATCTTGATGATATAAGGGATGTACATAATTCCATTTAAGAGGGCAGGTCTGATAGATCACACTTCATGGCTACCAAAATCAACAATATTACCACCTAGTGGCTGCTGAATTGAACTGCAAACACATGATCCTTGGGATCCACAAAGACCCTGTCTCAATAGCTAAAAATGATGGAAAAAGATAGTGAACGCCACTATAATTAACAACTTTAATGGGCCTTGATAACTGTTAATCACTGTAACACCCCAGCTCTGCTTTCAAACAGATTGGGAGAATAATGAGAATTTGCTTTTCCATTTATTGAGAAACTGAGCCTTGAAAAAGTCGTGAGCTGAGGCTAGAGAATGTGATTATTTAATTCCTTAATCCTTTTATTAATCTTCTGAATTGAGAAGTAGATCTACCTTTCCCTCCCAGTTTTTTTATTTAAATTTTGATTTATTTATAACATTTTTCAGTGAAAATTAAAAATGTGTATTTGAGTAGATCAGAACTGTTTTAAACAGAGATAAACTGGTCTTCTCGTTAAGGAAATATGCGATGTTAGTTAGTTCATGTGCTTTTATAAATTTAGCAAAACCTGAGTGCTCAACATTTAGAAGTGAAGTGCCAGTCCTGATAGCTCATCCTTACTCCATCTCAGAGTCAGGCATTGAGACCTTTGCTATTTACTACTTCCCCTTTCATCTTAGCATCCACCAACTTGTTGACATTCAAATTATTCATTGAAATAACCAAACCGTCTGCCCACTGAGCTCATTGCACCATCCCATTTCCTTGCTGAAATAAATAAAATGTGGCGTGAGTAATTGTAATATAGTAATTCTAGGGGAGCATAATATATTCAAGTAAGTAATGTAGAAAGCCACTAAAAAGTCTATTTGAAATTGCTCTTCTTCCCAGGAGGGCACTGTTCTCTCTTTAATATATTCTCTTTGGCTTCACGATTCTAGGATTAAGCCTAATTGCTAACATAATATATGTGCGTGATCGTTGCTTTCTTTAACTTAAGCTTCCTCTGGCATTGGTTTCTAGTTTGTAGTCATGACTGTGGCATTAATTGTAATTGGTCTGAGCTTCATGTGAAATAGGTTCCAGCGTGTTGACAGCAATTAATGGAGCTCCATAGTCCTGGGTAAGATTCAAGGGGTGGGTTTTGCATCTCTTTCAAATTGTTTTCTCATTGTTTCTGTTGTAGTCTCCTGGGAGACTATAATAAACAGGCTGGCTTTAGAATTGCACAAATCTGAGTTCAAATCTCTCCCCTACCTTTCTTTCTTTTTTTTTTTTTCTCTTTTTGAGACAGAGTTTCGCTCTTGTTGCCCAGGCTAGAGTGCAATGGTGTGATCTCGGCTCACCACAACCTCTGCTTCCTGAGTTCAAGCGATTCTCCTGGCTCAGCCTCCCAAGTAGCTGGGATTACAGGCATGTGCCACCATGCCCGGCTAATTTCTTGTATTTTTAGTAGAGACAGGGTTTCTCCATGTTGGCCAGGATGGCCCCGATCTCCCGACCTCAGGTGATCTGCCCGCCTTGGCCTCCCAAAGTGTTAGGATTACAGGTGTGAGCCACCATGCCTGGCCCTCTCCCCTACCTTTCTGAGCTTGGGAAGCTTACTTCCTCAAAAAAAAAAAAAAAAGCTGAGGTTCCCTCATCTCAAAGACAGAGGTAGTAATACCACCACCATAAGGTTATTGTGCCCATCAAACTTGCTAAAAAATGTCAGCCGTTTGACTATGGGTCTTTCTTTCATACTAGTACAGATAAACTTTTTCAAACTTTTACGTATTATTAGTTTAGGGCTTTCTGTGTTCTAGGCACTGTGCTGCATGTTATGAATACAATGATGAGCAAAAGGAACACAGTCTTTGCCTCTGGAACTTATATTTGCCAGTGGATATTTTATAATTATAGCCGATTGGTAATAGGAATCCACAGTGCATAACCAACCATCTCAAAACTTAGTAGGCTACAACAATGTATGCCTATCTCTCACAGTTTAATGAGTTGATTAGACTTAACTGGCTAGTTCTTGCTTCAGGTCTCCTGTGAAGTTGGAGTTAGATTATGGCTGGAATTGAAATCATCTGTAGGCTGCAGAGCCTCGGCTCGGGTGGATGGAGGGTGGGGCTTGGCTGGGCATCTCTGAGAGCCCGTGCAGTCACTCCACATGGCTTGCGCTTTCTCATAGCATGGTGGTCTCGCAGTAGTTAGCCTTCTTACATAGTTACTGGCTTTTTCCTGAGCAAATGTTCCAAGGAAAAGAAATTAGAAATTTCCTATCCTCTCAAACACTGGGAATGAAACATCACGTCACTGTTGTTCAGAGAAGTCACAGTCCAGTCCAGTTTTAAGGGAGTGAATAGACGCCACCGTTCAACTAGAGAACAGCACAAACATGCAGGGAAGGAAAGAGCTGATGATGGACATCTTGGAGACAAGCTACCACGGTGTCCTAATTGATCGTTCCTCAGATTTGTGTCTCTCGATATCTGGACTCTTAACTAGTGGGCTTTTTTACTTGACTTAGTCCATCAAGATTTATAAAACTGACCATTTGTGCTTGCCCTAGGAAAATGGATTGTATAATCTTTAAGTGTGAGATAAATAGCAAAATACATATCTGTTCTGGTTCTCGTAACTCCTTCAGGATGGATGGTATTTCCAGGAAACAGGATTTTCTCATTCTCCTGAATCACTCTCTGTGTTACTACACAGAAGGAAATATACAGCTTCATAAATACTAGCCTCACGAACCCAGTTCCACAAAGCGATTCACATGTTACATGCCTACTGAAACACACAAGAACCATCACATCAGCCAGAATATATTTCCTAGGACTTTAATATAAAGTCCCATTTGCTGCAGTTTTCTACTCCGCTTCTTCTGAGATGGAGTGATGGAATGTGTAGAAATAGTTAAAAGCCATTTCTAAATCAACATTGAAAATATTTTTTTCAATTAGTTTATCTACCAATGTTATGTTCCCAAAAATATAGATAAGAAACCAGAATCTGGAATTTATATTAAAGTTCATGAGTTTTGATTACATGTTCCAGGTGGATCAATCTGAAATACAAGCCTTACTTTAAAATAATGGAATGATTCCCTTGGATATATGAGACTTCTTCTCCAGGGACACACTACATATACTCTGAGATTAAAACACTGTGTGTTTTGTCTCTCTATATTTCTCAAACATATTAAATGGACAATATCCAAGAGGCATCTAAGAAGGAATAAGCTAGAAAAGTAGCCTGTATTGTTTCCCACGAACTGTGATGATCCAACCCAAGATCAATGAGCTGTCAGAAAAAGTGGGGGAGAAGTTCCAAGCAAAAATATCTAAAGTAATAGCCAAGGGGATAAAGAAAACCACTGGCTGGATAAACGGTGATAAATGCTGGTGGTTTGTTTGTTTTTAAATTTTGTTTCTGTCTGTAAGTCCCTCTTTCTGTGTAATACAAACTCTTGTACTGTGTGACACTCCTGTGTCTATCTTTCAAAGACTGGGGAGGGTGGAATGAGCAATTATCTGTTCTTCTTTAAACAACGATTCTCCCACTGTTTAGAATTTAAACAGTGTGTGCACATTTTCTTTTCGGTATTTCAGTTGTCCACAGTTACAGTCCACTCAATGTTCTGTACAAATGGGGCATGATGACCCACTGGCACAGCTTCCTCTCATGTTTGTACCATTTCCATACCCTCCCCTCCCTCCTGGACACCTGTGCTAATCATCCAAGGACTGCCTCCCACCCACACGACTGCCTGTCCTCATCTTTGCCTCCTTGGCACTGAACGAAATAGCCAAGCTTCTGAGATCCCTGGAACTTGCCTGTGTGTGGAATCCCACATGCTCTAAAATGCCTTTCACACAGCTACTCTGTTTTTGAAGCAAAGTGATTTTAGTCATTTGTACGCAGTTATGTGCAGAGATGAGAGGTTTTGGGCATGCTGTTAGGTCCTCGGTAGTATCTTGAATGTGCTGATACCGGGTGATTACAATCTTCTAGTAGTGAGAAGGGAAAAATAGAGCTGCGTGGAGCTAGATATTCAAATAATATCATATCATGGCTCCTCCTGGGAATATGATCATCCTTGAAGTGACTTAGTCCTCACTCCTCTCCAGAAAAAAAGCCATTTCTTCCTCCAGCTTTCTCTGCCCTCTCACCACCACAGCCCCTTTGGTCTGGTTAAATCTGAGCCACACAGATGCTCACTAAGGGCTAAAACAACAGTGGCAAGAGGAGGCCAAGTTAATGGGTGAGCAGCACCCTAGACTGGGAGTGCTGAGTTTCGCCCACAGACCTCAAGCTGCCCCCAGCCCATTCTGCTTTGGATTTCAGGGCTGCAGCTCTCCTCCCGGGGAGGATTCATCACTTCTTAGGTTTGTTCAACGCTAGTTTCTTATGTTGCCAATATGTGGCTCTGCAAATAAATGCTCACAGGGAAAAATCGGAAATTGGTCTTATTGACTTAGCGGTGTAGATCTCCCTCCCATCAAGTATACAGTTCTTCAGTGTACCTGTAGTTAGTTCTGGATAATTATAAGCAAATTAACAAGGATTTTTTACATTGTTGTTCCCCATTTCATGACTAAGTTGCTGCCATTAGCACCATACCTGTGAGCTAAGCAGTGGGGAGGTTGATTTTTTTTTTTTCAAGCCTAATCTTATTTTGAGGAGAAATCGGTTCTCAAGAGAATCTTCTCTCTCAATCCTACTTCCAGGACACTGATGGGTGCAAGCCATTATTGATTTCCACAGTCTGTCAAGAGTATAAATGAGAAGTCTGAGTCTCTTGTCTCAAGAAGCCAAGCTTCTGATGTAGGCAGATAAAAGAAACTATGTTTGGAGTAGCTTATCATCATTAACAACCATAAGCATTTCCTGGCTAATGGCTCTTCACATGTAAAGTGCCCTGCTGTGGAATCCGGGGGCTTCAGGTCCCTGGTGCTCAAGTTGTTTACAGTCCAGTCTACGAGACAAGCAGAACACTAAAATGGGAACTAGTGTAGCAAATGCCAAGCATCCAGTGAAGTCTGAAAGGGCTAGAAGTTCACCTGAACACAGTTGTCCTTGCTGCCAACGCCTGAAGGGTGGGTTGGTGCTGACGCTCCGTGGTTGAGACTTTTACGTGAATGGTTCAAAATGTCCTGTCCTCAGGGAGAGGGGTTCCAGTTCTGCTGGGAGTGGGTGGGCAGGGTGCAGAAAGCGGTAGACCCGAAGCTGCCTGTGAGAAGCCAGCCGCTGGAACCCATCTTTGCTTGGCTTGCTGGTCCTTGGCTTTGATCTGGGGGCACTTTCTCATGAGAGTTCTTCCTAGTCCTCCTCTGTCCCATGTGACAGGCTCCTCCCAGTTTGGTCCCGTTTCAAGGGAAATGAACTGTTTGTCCAGTCACCATCTCTGGGCTGTGTAAACAAGCAGATGGGCAATTAGTGGCTGTGTCAGGGCCTTGGACTGCTGCTGTGCTTGCACAAATGGAGACTCATCACTCATCTTTTGGACTATCGTCGTGCAAGCATGAGATAATGGGGACTGCTGGGCTCTCGAGATTTCTTCATGTTGTTTAGATTTCAGTCTTCGTGTCACAATCCTATTGTTCAAGCGTTCTGGCAACAGCCACTGTCATTCAGCTCATTTGGGAGAAAAAATAATAATTTGGATTCTGTTGCCTTGATTTTTTTCTCATTAAACCATTTTTTAATGAGCAGGAAGTAGGACCAAGGCATAGAGATCTGTAGGGTAATATCTTTCCTTAATTAGCCAAATGCTGACAACAGAGGTCACCCAGTTGCAGGAGATTTTTGCCCTCCCGCTTTAAGCGGGGCTTTAAGCGGGCATGTGTGTTGTACACACAGGCTGGAGGCCAGGAGAGGACAGAGCCTGCAGTCAGGTCACTCGTAACCCCACGGCTGCTGCTGTTTGTGTTTACTTGAGCATTCACTGCGCCTGCTATGTTTTCCTCTTGGATCCAGAATGCCAAGAGGGTCCCTTCAATCTGCCATTTATCTCCTCTTGAGATGCACAGAAATCGGGCACCAGTTGCTCAGTCTCCAGACTGTTCTCAGCATCAGACAATGGCCCTGTGTTTCCTTTGCTCTTTTTCCATACATTGGCCTCACCTCTCCGATTTTTTTTCTTTCTCCCCTTCCGCTTTTAATTTTTTCTCTCTTACCTCGGTTTGAGCGTCTGCCTTCTTTCATAGCTTTCTGTTTTCTCTCAGCATCTCCTCCACCCCCTTATGTTTTCAGTTTCTTGTGACTCGCTCTCCAGATTCCTTCATATTCAGGAATCACTGTCTTTGCCCAACATTGTTGTGAACGTGCCGGCCTTTTATTGTGGTTGTTCATCCCTTTCCCTCTTGCCTTCATTGCTCCCCGAGCCCTCCACCTCAGCCTCCTAAAACCTTTGAAGTTCTTCAGACTGGAAGTGTCTCTGGATCATGCTACATAAATGAGGCAATAGCACTTGGGATCCATTCAGCATGAGGACTGTGGAAATGATAGTCTTTCTCCCATTTTGCCCTAGGATGGGCATCTGTTGATGGGCAAGGAATTAACAGAGAGCACATCCCATTCTCTGTGACCAATCACTACTATTCTTTTTCAGTTGTTCATTCAGCATTTATAAGTTATCTACTATATGTGAGACTCTGAGGAAAAAAAGAAGAATCAGACACTATTCCAGTCTAAAAGACCCTATATATCTGACGCAAAATCTTACTCCACCTTTCAGGAGCATTAGATATAGCTGATCAAATGATGGATTGAAAACTCCTTCTTGCTTTAGGTCCTAACCCTCTTTTGTCTTCTCTCTACTTCATGGGCATTCCTCAATCTCCTAAGCTGGTTCTTCATCTTCCCAATCTCTAAACACAAGAGGGCTTCAGGACTCAGTCCATGAACCCCTTGCCTTATCACTGGGGTTGCTGAGGTGCATAGAACCTTGAGACTTTCTGATGGATCAAGCATATAATAAAGAGACTGAGGGAGACAAGAGAAGTCACTGTCGCCAGAGTTAGATTCACTGCCACCGCCACCCCCAGGAGCCGCCAGAACCCTTATGTCGCCACCACCACCCAGATCCCTGCACCATGACATCAGAGAAGACCTTCAGGCCACACCACACCTTTGAACAAAGAGTAGAAGTTTGACTTCTCCGAGAGCAGCATCCACCCAAAATCTTGGTAGTAACAGAACGATACAAGGCTGAGAAGCAGCTTCCCGTCCTGGATAAAGCAATGTTCCTTGTACTGGACCACATCAACCTGAGTGAGCTCATCAAGATCATTAGAAGGTCCTTCCAGCTCAGTGCTAATCAAGCCTTCCTCCTGGCGGTGAACAGACACAGCATTGTAGCAGAGTGAGAAGGATGAAGATGGATTCCTGTACATGGTCTGTGTCTCCCAGGAGACAATTGGAATGAAATTGTCAGTGTAAAACTGAAAAAAAAAAAATGCATCTATTTTAGAATTTTTAAACCTTTACCAAGGAAAAAATAAAGGAATGTTACCCACTGAGATCGATCAGTTCATCTAATCACAGATCGTCAAACAGTAGTGTTCCCACCTAGGAGTGTCAGGAAGTTGTGTTTGTATTTGAAGCAGAAAACTGGGCTCCAAGTGAGCACGTTCAGCTTTGGAAACTATGTTATTTAACATAGGCTAGCTTGTTTTCAGATTTTAAAAGTTTAAAAAGAAAATACTTTGCATTCTAAAAAAAAAGAGAGAGACTGAGGGAGATGTATGCTCAAGCAATGGGTGTATCCTCTTGTTCTTCACCAAACAAGGGGAAAGTTTTACATTCATTTACATTCATTTTACAAGTTTGTAAGACATATACAGCTTAGGGAGAAAAATATGAAGGCCTCGGTTCTGGGGAGAAAGCATGCGGGCATTTGTAGTACTGAGACTAAAAGTAAGGGGAGAAAGAGTTGCTGAGGTAAAGCTAAGTTAGAATATGAATTATTGCTACTATAAATGACACTAAATAGAACCTGTGAAAAAGGAGAAAATGTGAACTATACTATCCTCCTAAATAAAAGTAAATTATGATACCAAAAGCTTTTAAAAGTTTTGCCATTCCCAAACCGCCATGCAGTTGGCTTTGTGACTTTGGACATTCTCAGAGGGAAGGCATCACCTTTTAGAGTTTGTGAATTTGAATGAGTTTGGGTTTGTTTGGAAGCAGAGCTACATCAGAAATCTAGTCCCTTTCTTCCTAAAAGCACAAGGCTGCTAGTGAGCAGCCTTGTAATCCCAGCTGTGAGCAGTCGCTCACACCTGTAATCTCAGGACTTTGGGAGGCTAAAGTGGGAGGATCACCTGAGGCCAGGAGTTCAAGACGAGCCTGGGCAACATAGGGAGGCCACATCCTACAAAAAATTTTAAAAACTGGCTGGGCCATGATAGCATGCATCTGTAGTCCCAGGTACAGAGAGGCTGAGGTGGGAGGAACACTTGAGCCCAGAAGATTGAGGCTGCAGCGAGCCATGATCATGCCACTGCACTCCGGCCTGGGTAACAGAGTGAGAACCTGTCTCAAAAAAATAATAATAATAAAATAAAAACAGAAAAAGAAGAACAGTGTGAAAGATAATGCATGAAAAGCTCTTTCTTTCTTATTTTCATGACTTTACAAGCTTCACTTTCTGCCTTCCCATTTTGTACCACACAGACATTTACCACTGGGAATCTTCCTTGTCTGTGTCCCAAGGTTATCTGAACACCAAAGTTACACTTAAGAAGGAAAGGTTGTCAACTCAGGAGGATTGAAATAGAATTCCCTTGGAATCACCCCATAACATCTATTTGAAAACAAACCCTTCCAAACCATCACATCATGGAAATCACAGTCCATGGTGAGAAAACTGCCAAGTTTTTGAGGTTGCAACTTAGAACACACACCAAAAAAGTGTGTCTTCATCTCCAAGCATCTTTGGTTTGGAAATTGGGATAATAGGGCATCTGATCAGGCTTCCTCAAAGAATATCCAGTATTTTCCCGGCTTCCGGCAGCAGAAACCTGGTTGGTGGTCTAAGCCAGGAAGAAAAAGATATTTCACTTTGGAAGAGGAAAATAATTCTAAGTTTATTTTTTTAGAGCCACGATTTAGAAAAAATAATAAAATAAGAGATGCCTCTTATTTAAAATCAGTTTTCATTGTATCTGAATAGTCTGCTTTCCCTTGTTCATGAGTATCTGTGATTACGTGGTCAGGCCTGACACGTATCCCAGCTAGGCTGGGTGACATCCCTGTGTCCTGCCCTCTCCTCCAGCTCTTCCTCATGGGCCTGCTCACTAGCAGCCTTGTGCTTTTAGGTAGAAAGGGACTGGATTTTCTGATGTTGCTCTGCTTCCAAACAAACCCAAACTAATTTAAATTCACAAACTCTAACAAAGGTGATGCCTTCCCTCTGAGAGTATCCAAAGCCACAAAGCCAAACTGCAATGGCAGTTTCAGAACAGCAAGACTTTTAAAAGCTTTGGTGTCATAATGTTATCATTTTGAAGGGTTCACCTGAATAAAAGCCTTAGATTTCTCTGTGTGGTGAATATGAAGCACCCATTCTAAAATTAACCAAGGTGATCAGAGGGAACTAGGGCTTCTCCCCTTTAAACAGTGATTCTGTTTTCAAGATCAGTGGAAATAAGAAAAAGATGGAAAACTATTTGTTCAAAGAAAGGTACTACCTAGATTACCTTTATTTTCTCACTTCTTGCTGCTGCTGCCTTGTCTTAGGGAAAAATTGCTGAAAATAATAACGGTGGGAGTAAGAGAAGGCTAAAAGGGAGATGAGTTTCAGCCACATTTGGAGAAAGGAAGAATTAGATGAACAGAGCTTGGATGATGGCAGTCGGTTTCTTTGTTTGGAGGAACTATTAATAGTCTTGATTTAGCCCTTGAGCTCCTGTTTTCTGTCTTTTGTTTGTGTTTTATCTGTCTGATTTTTTCCTCCTTGAGGCAGCTTGAAATGTGAAAGGGCAAGGGAACAGAGCTAACGTAGGGTGGAAACATGGTTATATGTAATTAAGGTCTTACTTCCTCAATTTGCTACTACTGAAGCCCAAGGGAGACCAAGTTCTGTTCCACACACCATGTGAGAGGAAGAGGTTGACTAAGATGAGCTAGGCAGTTTTATCAGCTTGTTGGTCAAGGGATGTAGGATCCTGAGATGGATTCAATATTTTGGTTGATATTAACAGAAATATAATTTTTAATTTTTTTCCAAAGAACCAGACAGAAGTTTAAGAAAAGAGTTTACCATCCAAGAATTTAATTTGCTTTTCATCAGAGTATGACAAAACAGGCATGCTAGGGTCCAGCCTCAACTAACCTGAGTTGGTGAAAGGAAACAGAACTGAATTGGAAATAAATGCCAGGAGGTTCTGAGAATCAGAAAAAATGATGAGAAGGGTCAGGGTGAAGATGACAAAGGGCGATGGTTCTCAAAATCCTGCTGCAGTGTGAGAAGTAGCTGCCTTTTAGTGTAAGGTCTGGGCTTATGGAGGAACCCAAGAGAGTAAGAATGGAGTCAGCAAATTCATATTTAAATGAATATGCCCACATTCCTTTGCCCTATTGATTCCAGAAGTTGAAATTGTGGCCTTTAATGTGTTTAAGCCCTTAGATCATTTGCTAAGAGTTCAGGGGGAAAAAAGCAGCTGGTTCATCTCTGGTATTTTCAGATGGGTTTTCTTTACAGAAGTTACTCATAAGTGGTATTTTCAATGGAGACCTTCAGAAAAAAGATGCTTGGATATCTCATCAGGTTTCAGAGAAGTGTTCAGACTTGTTAACCCTTTTAACTCAGCTAAATGTCCATTAAACCATAAAACAAAGTCCATTACACTTTTGGGCCGGGGACTTGAGTGACTGACTCACTCACCCTGGGATGTTGCTCATCTCCTGTATGGACTAATATTGGGGCTTATTAGATCATGGGGGTCAGAAGGCTCACTTCCTCTGTGCTTGGATGCTGGGGCTGTTTTGATGCTAGTTGGCTTTCTGTGGGTCTTCTCCCTTATCAGTAGAGGATACACCCCACTTCTCCAGATGAGTCCCTTATAAAACAGCTGCTGCTTCATAAGACATTCCCTTAACCCAAGCCCTTTCCTCCCTATCAGTTACACTAATTGAAGATCAAAACCATTTCCCCCCACCTCCCATTACGTATTTTCTACTTATCCTCTAAGAAAAGAATTACAGGTTAGGATTACTCTAGAAGTGGTAGCTGTCAGTAGAGGAATGACATCCTAAAATATGACCATTAGAGACAAGAAGAAATTAGAAAGCTAGCATGCAGTGGGCATTTAATAAACAGCTGCTGGGAGTGGTGGCGGTGGAGAAGAGCAGAGCAGAGGAGGAGGGGAGAAAGGAGGAGTTGTAAAGTGGGAAAAAGGAGCTAACACTTTAGAAGGACAAAATGGCGGCAAAAAAGTCTGTCCCTTGGTTTTCTCCCATTGACAAATCTAAGACTGATGATGTCTACCCTACTTCCTACCTCTCACAAAACAACATTAGAAGGCAACATATTTAGGTAACCCGGGGTCATAAAGGAGAGTTGAAATAGAAGCTTCAGCAAATAACCCCCGTATCATCAGGCCTTGGATTATCAGCAATTCCAAGCACTACCTGAGTCTCCATCTCAAAAAGCTCTTCCTTCTGCTGGCTGGAGTGCAGTGGCGCGATCTCAGCTCACTGCAACCTCCACCTCCCGGGTTCAAGCGATTCCCCTGCCTCAGTCTCCCAAGTAGCTGGGATTACAGGCACTCACCACCATGTCTGGCTAATTTTTTGTATTTTAGTAGAGACAGGGTTTCACCATGTTGGCCAAGATGATCTTGATCTCCTGACTTCATGATCTGCCCGCCTCGGCCTCCCAAAGTGCTGGGATTACAGGTGTGAGCCACCGCACCCAGCCCCCTCTGCCTTGAAAATACTCACAGCATCATCTCAACAGCCAATACACTGAAACCCCTCTCCACACTGAAGCACAGTTGTCTGTGAAGAAAAATTAGGGAAGCCATAGAGGAACAATAGCTCCTTTGCAAATTACAGCTTCATCAGAAGGAAAGTTGAGGCAGGCATATAGTATTTTATTTTATACACCACAAACAGACAACCCCTAGACTTGGAATTCAGAATTAACAAAAGCATTAAATCCATCGGGCTTTGAGAAGGGTCAATGTTTTTTCATATGTCTTCCCTGCTACCATTATTTGCATAACAAATCGCTGCAAAATGCATTCATGTCAGATGTTGGAAATAAACTCTTTGGGGTATAGCTATTTTTAAACAACCCATAGTTATACGGGTGTTTTTAAAACATTCAAAGCCTGAGTTTATGTTTCAAATCATAAGTGATCACAGGAACTCTATATTGTTGGTCTGGTGCTGACCTACAGAACAGAGTCTGAAGTCCCTCAGAAATGATGATGTTTTAAAGAGTTACAAAAGTTCACATTGGCTGTAGATTAAAGCCCTGTATTTCTAGGCAGGTACACAGAAATCCCTGGTGCCAGTTTCTACCTCCACTTTGGAGAGCATTGAACTTTCTTTGCAAATATTCAAAATACTTCCCCACCAGAAGATTTTACTTACTGACACCGGGAACAGGCATCCCCACCCACATTCTTCATCCTTAAGAATCAGAAGTTAGAAAAAAAAAAAAAAAGGCTGCATTCTTTGAGATTATTTGCATGAGTGGATTATTTGTGTCAGTCTCTGAGAGATTATCTTCATAGTCTCTAGTCTACTTGTCCAAGCTTACTATTCCCACAAAAGATTTTTCCTGTGGTCTAGGGAGTCTCATGATTGCCTCCCTGGACCTATGCAATACCAACCTCCCCACCCCACACACACTTTCCTCCCCTGCAGCCTCTGCAAAGCCCTGGCTCCTGGGGCTCCTTGAGCTTGGACTGCCAGCTCCACTTCCCGTGTTCTAGGCAAGCAGCAAATACCCTTCAAAACTGCCATCAAGCCCCACCTGTTTTATAAAAACTTCCCAAGCTTCCATGATATGTGCGTTATATTATTAGCAACGGTATTAGCCAGGTGCCTGTATTCCCAGCTACTCGGGAGGCTGAAGCAGGAGAATCACTTGAATCCAGGAGGTGGAGGTTGCAGTAGCCGAGATCATACCACTGCACTCCAGCCTGGTTGACACAGCGAAACCCTGTCTCAAAAAAAAAAAGTAAAAATAATATTAGCTAACATTTATTTAATACTCTCAGCCAAGTTTGATACTAAGTAATATCTCATTTCTCATTGAATAAAAAAACCCTTGAGGAAAGCACTATTATTATCTCCATTTTACAAAGGAGGAAATTGAACTCAGATGGGCTGGATCTATGTGACTTAAAGGAGGACCTCAATCAGGACAGGTTAAGAATCCAGCATGGGGGTTTGGTGCCTTGGACTAGAGTGGTTGAGTAAGTGGCGGGAGATTATAGTGGTGGGGGGTGTTTGGAGGATACAAACCACTAGACTTTTTGGTGGCTTGGATCCTGCCCTCCCGATCTGAAAGGTTACATTTCATCCCGTCTTTAGATGTCATTTGCACTACTTGAACACTCCCCAGGGCCCTCGCTGCTCCTACCCCTAATTGATTTCCACCTTTCTTCATATGTGAGTTCACATGATGACGTCTCCTCGGACAGGGAGGGCTTTTCTTACATATACTCCTGGGAAAATTAGGTTTCTACTCAATAATATAACTGCCCCTCTTTCTGTTACCTCTGTGGCACTTCTTTCAATTTTTAAATATTTGAGAAATTACTTAGCTGATACGAGAGGGAAGATGTCTATTTCACACTTTATTTATAGTATCCTCTTTACTTACCATGCAGTGGTACTCAGTGAAATACAGGTTGAAGCTGTCCAAAAAAGGAAAGAATTTAAAGGAGTTCCTCCTCATTTAGATCATAAATGGAATGGAATTCCTTCATAAAAGCAAATTCATCTAGAGGTGAAAACAGGACTCAAAAAGGAAAATTAAACTATTTCAACCACTATCTCACCAAAAGAACAACTCCAAAAATGTGATCTGGAGGGAAAAACAATCAAACTAATGAAGAAGAGAAGACAATGAGTCAGGAGTGACTATCCCTTACAATAGGGGTGATTATTTTTAAAAATCTGTCTTTATCTAATGGTCAGTGGCACTCAGTTATATGGCCAGACACAAGAATTAGAAGATTTTAATCTCCTGTCATTTGTTATTTCATATCCAATAACTTCATTTACTTTTTTTTTTTTACTTTATTTTTGGTCTTTGGCCTTCCAGATCCCCCAAATTTTGGATAGCCTGAATGTGGGATGATCCTGTATTCAGAGAAGTGAATTTCCCTTCACTAGTCCATTTGCTTTTAAAAATAAAGAAGACATTAAAATGAGTTGCAGATATAAGTAATCCTTATTTAGTTATTTTGCTTTCTCAACCAGCATAAGGTCTCTACATAAGGACAAAATTTGGATTCAGTACCTCCTAACTCTGCCACGTGGGAGAAATGTGTCCCCCCTCATTTCTGTGTGGGTATTTGTCTAAATCTTGTCTCCCTTCCCACTACTGAGGTCTCACAACTTGAAGAGTTCTATCTAGATATAGAACATGGTTATATATGCTGGTAACAAAATAGTTGTAACTATTTTCCTCACTCACGAATCTTACCCTTTAAACAGGTAAAAGAGTGATTTACATGGATTGGCAGGAGTCAGAGAATCCTTATTGCTTTTGTAAGCTGAGACAATATGCCCAGTCCATACCAACACCAAATAAGGTATCTTGGAATGTGATTGCATCCATATGCTTTCAGCTCATGCAATATAGGCACAGAGAACCAATTTTAGGAAACTGGCCTCAAAGGAAGGCACGGGCTCTTGATTAGATTCCCACCATTCTACTCCAGCAGCCACATATAGAGCCCTTAATATTAATTTTAATGTAAGTTGGAGGAAATTTTCCAATCTTTGAAAACTATCTTTCACCCCCCTCTCCTGGGGGCCTGTGTTATTCACCAGCTAGAAACACTAGCAGCTGGAAGCAGAAGATGGCTTGTCTAGTCCTCCTGGATGCATGCATTTAAAGAGCTGTAAGGTTGACAGAACTTTCGCCGGAGCGCATGTTTTTAACTTAGTAGGAATAATAGCTTGGTCTCATAAACTGTTGTGCCATCTTAGATTATATATTGCATGGCAAATTTTTGTTATTGGGTATTTGTCTAGTTACATCAATATTAACTAGAGTAGACCTTGAGAAAGCAGAGAAGGAAATTTTGCTTCATTTGGGCTGGAGTTTTGCTATCCAGTTTCTGAGTTCTTGCACATTGCATTTTGAGTCTGTGACCAAATGACCTGCCTCTTGCTCCAAGTAAACAAATACTGACATTCTTGCCATCCACCAGTGTCTTTCCTCTAGGGGATGACAAAACATTCGATGTGTAGCAAATATACATAGGTGCCAGCAGATAAAGAGTTTTGCCTTAGGTCATCTACCAGGAAATATTATATTTTACCTACCTATCTCCCTGTTCACTGGGAGGAATTCTGAAATCCTTAAGTAAAAGACGTTGAAACTACTAACGTGTTCCTTTGTTGTATCAATATTTCTAGTAGTCGGAATGTATGCTTTCTATTCCCAGTAATTTTATTAGGTTACTAAAAAAATATGATTTGGTTAAGAGGGAACATGAGCCAAGTGGTAGGGCTAAATCCCTTCTTCTGTCTGAGTCGTGACAATATTTTAACCGCAAATGTTTATCTTTCATCCTCAGGGGAGATGAGTAGCCTCTTTTTTGAATCATCCTCTGCAGAGTGCAGTAGATGCAAAGCAGTACTATTATCCAAATTGTTAGCTCTTACAGCCAAGCTAGAGTCTATTCACTGTTACAAAAACCCAGTGAGAAAAAAAAAAAACATGCTAAATGATAAAGAATTACAAAATCACATTTCAATTAGCTCCATTAATTTGGAAAATGGAATTTCCCTTTGTACGACTTGGAGTAATCAAAATTTACCAAATTAAGAAGAAATTCTGACATTCTGCACTACAGAAAGGATGAACCATATTGGGCTTACCATTCTGCATCCTAATTTTTAATATCTATTGATGTTGATACATATGGATCTAATTACTTTGTCTCTTTTTGAAACAGAGTCTTGCTCTGTTGCCCAGGCTGGAGTGCAGTGGTGCAATCTGGGCTCACTGCAACCTCCGCCTCCTGAGTTCAAACGATTCTCCTGCTTCAGCCTCCCACGTAGCTGGGATTACAGGTACCTGCTACCATGCCGGCTAATTTTTGTATTTCACCATGTTGGTCAGGCTGGTTTCAAACTCCCAACCTCAAGTGATCCACCTGCCTTGGCCTTCCAAAGTGCTGGGATTACAGGCATGAGCCACCACACCCAGCCTGGGTCCGATTCCTTTTAACCACTATACATTATTCAGTTGTGTGAATAAACCATGTTTTTCTTTATCCATACCTCTTTCACTTCATGTTCTTAAGTTAGTCACATCATTCTGGACCTCTGCTATAAAGGAGAGCCAGCAATCTGTATGTCCTTTTTTTTTTTTTCTTGAGACGGAGTCTTGCTCTGTCACCCAGGCTGGAGTGCAGTGGCGCAATCTCCGCTCACTGCAAGCTCCACCTCCTGGACTCACGCCATTCTCCTGCCTCAGCCTCCCGAGTAGCTGGGACTACAGGTGCCCGCCACCACGCCAGGCTAATTTCTTTTTGTATTTTTAGTAGCGACGGATGTTAGCCAGGATGGTCTCGATCTCCTGACCTGATGATCCACCTGTCTCGGCCTCCCAGAGTGCTGGGATTACAGGCATGAGCCACCGCGTCCGGCCTGTATGTCCTTTCTTCATTGGGTCGTTAAAAAGATGAACAAGACAATAATGTGAAATGATTATAACTCTTTTGTTAGAAAGTGGTACAAACATGAAAACTAATGCTATTTTCTTATATGTTATGATTTTCATCTAGAACGACAAGATTCCTTGATCATTCTTTGTTTTATTTAAGTGAATAGTAGGTAATAATCCATTTGTGAAAGTGATGGGAATGTAAAATTAGACAAATGTGATTAGCTGGGCCTTACCGCCACAAACTCTGCTCAAGATAATGCTGCCGAGACCCAAAGACAATCATTTTGTTGCTCATAAATGACAGTTTAAGCTGGTGAGTGGCTGAGGTCCAGCATTCTCCTTGGTTCCTAGATGGACGGTAAAGCTGCTTGGACCATAATTTTCCATCTTTCTTCTTGGAAAGAGTGACTGGAGGCCACTCAGTAAAGTGAACCTTGGAAATAAGACTTCTGTCTCACACAACCTGTTCATGAAAGGGAGCTATAAAAATAAACGCATATTCAGAGCCTAATGGAGACGTGGCAACAGGCCTGAGGACATGCCATCCCTGAATCCCCTCCTCTGATTCTCCTGTAGTTCTACTTAGTTTCAGAACAAGATGAATGCATCAGTTGTAGGCAAACATCAGTTGTGTGTGTTTTCTCAGCTTGTTTATTTAGAAAGTAGTTGAAGGAGATAAGAATGAGTAGCTTTGGAAAGAGCCAGCGCTAGGAAAACTGGGAAGGACATAAGAGAATAGCATTTCCACAGCTAAGATGCTATCTGGAAGCCGCCTGGAATATTGTAATGATAGTGTGAGATCATGTAGTGTTCTAATAGAAGGTGGGTCTCTCTTCGTTCCTACATACAAACTCCAAAGCAAACTCCTAGGTGGGTATGACTTAAGAATGGAGCAAAGCATTAGCATTAAATGGCAAGAAGTCTGGATTAAACATAGATGAAGAGAGACTCCCTTGTTGTTCTCACTACTTTCCTGGTTTCTCATTAAATTGGTCTGCGCTTCCCTGGGGTCCTTTGATTCTGTTTTTGCCCTCTTTTCACTAAATCTTCCTTTAATTTCCTTTGGTTTGATCTGATGACATTAGCCCTTTCCATCAGTTTCTGAGCATACCCTTTTGGCTTGTTTCCTCTTTCTCCTTAAATCTCAGGGCAGCGTTTTTCCCCCAGGGAATTCGATCTCAGTGTCTTTCAACACCTTCACTGTTGGCCTGTAGCCTCTCAGGCTGCGCTAAGCAGGGCCCTGGAGAGTCTTCCACTCTCCCTGGAGAGCTGCTTCTCTATGGGCTGTGGGACACTTGACCTCACGTGTCTCCCCACCACCCTTGTGAAAGAAGCAGCCATTAGGCCCTCTTGACATGTGTGGGAAGCACTATTCTGAGAAACACTCTAGGGACCCCACTGCTAAGTCAGTGATAGATTTTGACATCCAGAGGGAGGGTCAGCTCCCTTGAGTCTCACTTTGAGTGATTTCTAACTACTATTTCCATCATTCGAGTTTTGTTATCCAAACAGCCTTATCCAAAATGTGCTGTTATTACTACCAGTGTCATTGTTGTTTGACCTCTCAAAACTACTTATTCTAAACAACATCTCGCACACTGATTTTATATGTCAGGTCTAATACAATTTGGGGAAAAGGTTACTGAGTACCTAATCTTAACCATTCATTCTTTATGAATAGGCCCACAGTGTGTCAGATATTGTGCCGAGCAAAGATAAGAGACGGTCTCCCGGCTTAAAGATCTCACAACGTAGTCAGGAGAGCCAATCCTAAACAGACAACTGTATAATAGGGGAATGGCAATGAAAAGGGTAATAGAGAAAATTTCTTCAGCCCATTTTTGAGAGTCAGCAGTGTGTCAGGTACTGTGCCAGGCATAGTTTATATAGTCATGAACAGGACAGATAAACTTATAATTAGCAAGCGCAAGAGACAAAAGAGCAAATAAGTAACCCATTGTATAATTACAAATTGTGGAAAGTTTAGGTTTGGCTGAAGAGGGCTGGTATTAAGAAACCTACTTTAAAAGAGTAGGGAGAGTAGAACAGTGATGACATTTAAGTCTGGGAAGGAGCCAGTTATAGGAAGCATAGAAGAAAAACACATCGTACGCAGAAAGAACACCATGATTGGCAGCCCTGAGGCAGCTGAGAGCTTGGCATACTGAGAGATTAAGATGGGCGAATACAACTAGAACTAGGGCAGACCACCTAGGCAGGGCCCTGAAGATCATGAGACGGAATTTGGATTTTATTCTACAGGAAGCCTTAAAAGAATTTGTAAAATGAAAGTAACCTGACTACATTCATGTTTTAAAAGATTATTCTGGTTGCTGTGTAGACAAATAAATGCACAGAGGCAAAAGTAGATAAGGAAGTTACTGAAGTAGCTCAGGTGAAAAATGAGCATCTTGGACCAGGCTGGTGGAAATTGAGATGGAAAAGTATGGATGAATTCAAGACTATGTTTTCGAAGTAGAAAAGACAGGAATTGGATTTAAACGTAGGAGTTGTACAAAAGGAGGAGCCAAATCCCAGGTTTTGATCATCTTAGTGAATGTCGATGCTATTTACTGAGGTGACTCAGACAAGGAAAGGAACAAATTTGTGTTATGGTAGACAATTCAGGGAATAATTGGAATTCCTGGACAGCTATTCATGTCAGGATGTTCAGCAGAGCAGGGGAAATGCAAATCTGATGTTGAGAATGTAGTTTGGAGTTGATGATAGAGATTTGAGATTCATCGGCAGAACGAGAGTAGCTGAATTTATAGCTAATTATAAAACAGAGGGCTGGGGCACGGTGGCTCACACCTGTAGTCCCAGCTACTCAGGAGGCTGAGGTGGGAGGATCACTTGAGCCTAGGAATTGGAGGCTCCAGTGAGCCTTGATTGCACCACTGTGCTCCAGCCTAGGTGACAGAGTGAGACCTTGTCTCTTAAAAGATAGAAAAGAGTCTAGAGAGCGGGCCTTGGAGCCTGAATATATTTAAGAGGGAGAAGAAGAGCCAGTGGCGGGAACAGAGCAAGTGATCAGAATGGGTGAGATAATTGACCAATGTTGAACATGACCCTACCTGACTTGCCACTGATAAGCATTTTTTCCTTGCAAATAAAATTTAAAAATACTGTTTCTGAAAATGTTCAAAAAACTCTAAAGCATTACCTATGTGTAATCTGTCAAATTCATGTGGATATCTATCCACTCTGTGAGGTAAGCACGCACTAAGAGGACCATGTAAGAATCTGAGCCTCTGAAAACCAGTGTTGGGCTCCACGCTCCAGCCCAGGCAGACTTGGCTTTCATGGTATGAAGGAAATGGGACGTGTTGCTTTTTAAATAGTACTCACAGTTATTAAATAACATGATTAATAATAACGTGACCAAAGATTTTTAAAAATTCCTTTCCCACCTTTCCCCTCTCACGGGGGGTACATTACACTATCTGTTGCTGGTGGCATTGCTGCCATCCCCAAGTCCATGTTTCAACTGTGTGTGGCTTCCAGCACTTCAGTGAAATCTTATTTAATCACACATGCCATTTTATAGACCTGTAAAGAAGGGAGCACATGGCTTTTGGCAGGGGCACACTGTTCCAATGTGGTCTTCCCTATGTTTGCAGTAGGATGTTACAGCTCCAGGCTCCATGCCTTCCACCTTGTGAGTTCGCAGAAGCCTGTTCTGTGAAGAATACTTTTCGAATATGAAAGTTACCCACGAAGCATTCTGGACCAGGGGTGTGACTAAACCTCCAGCATGAGTTGGAATAGTAGCTTTCAGGGGCTTTGTTTCCACATAGTGCCTTTAAAATTGGTATTTTAAAAATGGTTATGATTGTACCACCATGTCCTTATTTATGATAATAGTAAAATTGCTACTTTAGCATTTTGTTGGTTTACAAATCTTTAAAAATGCTCAAAACATGTAAGAACTGTCATAGAATGTATGTGAGAGGAAACTTAAAACTTTGAGTTTTGAAATTTAAGCAGTTTTCTTGGAATAACGGCATTTGTGAGAATTTTCTCATTCTGCAGAGATGACCTCTTTGGGCCCACCTTGGTGTAGGCAATAACGATAGAAACTCTCGGCCGGGCGCAGTGGCTCACACCTGTAATCCCAGCACTTTGGGAGGCCAAGGTGGGCGGATCACGAGGTCAGGAGATCGAGACCTTCCTGGCTAACACCGTGAAACCCTGTCTCTACTAAAAATACAAAAAGAAATTAACTGGGCATGGTGGTGGGTGCCTGTAGTCCCAGCTACTCGGGAGGCTGAAGCAGGAGAATGGTGTGAACCCAGGAGGCAGAGCTTGCAGTGAGCCGAGATTGAGCCACTGCACTCCAGCCTGGGTGATAGAGCAAGACTCTGTCTCAAAAAAAAAAAAAAAAAAAAAAAAAAACAGTAGAAACTCTCTGTCTTTGAGACAGACCATGAATGGGGGCTCGTGGGTAGGAGAGAAAGGGCGCAGTGCCTTGGGTAGCTCAGGATATGAGTGAGTACCCTGCCCCATGGAACATTCTGCCCTCCTCTGTTCTCCCCAAGATAGAGTAGCTGCAGCATATTGTCCTACTCTTGTACCCAATGGTGAGACTCAACTAGCAAGATTGGTTCCGTGTCCAGAATCAACAACAGAGGAAAGCCAAGAAACTCAACAAACAGGAGAATTTACACCTGAAAAAACATGCTTGTAGGCAGAACAGATATTCAGAACATGTGTGTTTTATAATCTCAGAGAACTATAAGATACAGACACCTTCATAAAAAAGAATCCAGTAGAGAATATAGAAATTAAAATTTGAGTTGATGAAATATTTTTAAAAGAGAGTAAGAAATACTCAAATAATGCAACATTACTTCCCAGAAATGAAAATACATTGCATCTCTTATTGAAAGAGCCAACAGAGGCAATGAAAAATAAATGTACACATATGTGCACCCTTAATTCTTTATAATGAACCTTGAGAAATCAAGGCTTTAGAAAAATGCTGAGAGACAAGAAGCTTCTGAGCAGCAACACTGGATGCAGGAAAAAAAAATGGAGTAATAAGTGTAAAGTTCTGAGGGGAAAAATATCAGAACCTAGAATTCTAAATTTAACCAAACTGTCATTAAAGTAAATGAGAAAAGTAAATTCTTTTGAGAAACGCAGAGCCTAGAAAGATTACTAATCGTAGATCATCTTTTTTGTTTGTTTGTTTGTTTGTGACAGACTCTCACTCTGTCACCCAGGCCTGGAGTGCAGTGCTGCAATCTCGGCTCACTGCAACCTCCACCTCCTGGGTTCACGTGATTCTCCTGCCTCAGCTTCCTGAGTAGCTGCAATTACAGGTGCATGCCACCACACCTGGCTAATTTTTGTATTTTTAGTAGAGGCGGGGTTTCACCATGTTGGCCAGGCTGGTCTCGAACTCCTGATCTCAGGTGATTCACCTGCCTTGGCCTCCCAAAGTGCTGGGATTACAGGTATCTCACAGATCTTCTCTTGAAGTTGTACTTCTTCAAGTTGAAAATGAATCTAGGAAGAAGTGGAGTAGCAAAAGGTATAATGAGCAAAGACATTTATAAAATAATGGTTAAAGCATTACTAATAAAATGTAAAGCATTTGTGTTTGATAATGTGGAAATAAAATTGCAGGTGATATCAAAATGGGATGAGGCATTGGATGTGACCGTAGAATTTAGGAGGAGAATGAAAGGAAAAGCAAGCCTCCCTTATATTGTTCCAGGTTAGGGTATTGAGATATAATAAGCTGTAGATAACCTTAAAATCACAGGTATAATGGGTGTTAAGATTTAAGTATTAGCCGGATGTGGTGGCTCATGCCTGTAATCCCAGCACTTTGGGAGGCTGAGGCAGGTGGATCATGAGGTCAGGAGTTCAAGAACAGCCTGGCCAAGATGGTGAAACCCCATCTCTACTAAAAATACAAAAATTAGCTGGGCATGGTGGCGGGCGCCTGTAGTCCCAGCTACTTGGGAGGCTGGGGCAGAGAATTGCTTGAACCCGGGAGGTAGAGGTTGCAGTGAGCCGAGATTGTGCCACTGCCCTCCAGCCTGGGGTGACAGAGCAAGACTCCATCTCAAAAAAAAAAAAAAAAAAAAGATTTAAATATTTATTAGTCAAAAAGTTAGAATTTATCATGTTCAAACCAGTAAAGGAAAAATGAAGCAAAGACAGTTTGGTGAATCCAACAAAAGTTAGGAAAAGGTGAAAAAGTAAATAGCCAGCAAGCTTGGTGAAGAAAAGTACAAAATAAATATGAGGATTAATCTAAATATATTCATAATCAAAATAAACACGAATGGACCAACTTTACCCAGGCAGCTGAAAGGAAAAAGAAATGACTCATTTAAACCTGAGAGAGGACAAGACAATCTGCCATTATTTGGATACTCTGATTATCTCTTAGAAAATCTGATTATCTCTTAGAAAATTGTATCTTAGAAAATCTGTGACATTTGAACAGTGTTTATCCATCTCCAACAACAACAACAAAACTGCCTCACACAATTTCAAATAATAATCTAAAGGACAAAAGCAAAACCAAAAATATAGACAGTATTAAAATACGAGACCTCTTTATTACCTTGGGAGTAGACGAGACCTTCTTGCAAATGATTTAATCAGCAAAAGACATGAAGAGTATTTATGAATTTGACTGTTTCAGATTTAAATTTAAAAATGATAAACGTTGTAAACAAAGTTAATAGACAAGCAAAAGCATGGGAAAATATATTTGCAAAATATTTAACCAAGGGTTGGTACCAAAATCTATGTAATTTGCAGAATTTTAAAAGTTTGACAAAACAATTATCAGCCCTTCGTAGTATTAAATTATACTATCATTGTGGAGGACTGACAGTCTCAAATAAATTAAAACTATGTCTACCTGATAACACTAACAAATCTACTTCTCTATGTCTGTCTTAGAGAAACCTTGCATGTTTGCACAGGGACACTCAGAAGTTCTGGAAGGATACTCCCAAAATGATAACAGTACTTGAGTTGTAGAAGATAACTATATATATATATGTGTTGGGGGAGACAGAGGGTGTGATGCAGAGGGCTATCAGGGGGACTTTATCTGTAATGTTTTATATTTTTATAAGGAGAATGCATATAACCTAAATTAGTTAAGGATTAATTTTGCAAAATATTTAAGAGTGGAAGTTTTATTTTCAGTTTCATAATAGAATTAAAGCCTCTCTCTTTGCAGTTAAAAGAAAAAGTGGCCTGTCTGTTAACGCAAAGTTTCAGGTTGAGCCCGCTTTTTATGTAATCATGAATCTCTGTTACTCAGTTCACTTTTTATAGTAGAGGGAGTTTTTAGATGAGAAGTTTATATACACCCTTCACGTTGTAATCATGAATCTTTGTTACTCAGTTGACTTTTTACAATACAGGGAGTTTTTAGATGAGAAGTTTATATACACCCTTCAGGTTGTATTGATGGATTTTGGTTGGAAGTCGTCTGCGTTTATCTTTAGGCATATCAGTTTTAAATGTTTAAATATCTGTAATTATTTTGTTTAACACTGATGTAGCTGGACTTATTATTCAGTCCACCATTTGAGATGGCAAAATCTTAAAAATACATCAAAGGCAGATTATTCTTGCCAGTCCTGTTTCAAGTATGCGAAAAATGGTAGGTAATACATTTACATTTTTAATTTCATTATATAAATGACATTAAACTAACCATAAAATAATTGCCAATAATAACAGCATTGTTTCACTGAGCTTCTATACATGACTGTGAGTCATTTTTCCTCGTCAAAATGAGAAGTGGTTTTTTTTCTTTCTTTTTTATAAAGTTAGATCCTAAATGCCCAACTTTTGACCATATTTTTCTTCTGCTTTGGAATTTTTTTCCTATCAGTCATTATATTTCTTTAGGAAACGTCTTTAAATTTTTTTGTGGGAAGGAACAAAGCTAGCAAAGAAACAGATGTGTCCCATATAAAATATGCAATAAATCTTGTCCCACAAATTCTTTGCTCTGAACTTTCTGACAGAAACTGTCAAATATCCACTTTAATTCAGGTATAAAATGTTCACTCCATGTCATGGCGCCAACCACCATATGCCAGAATAAAGTTAGTGACCAGCCATAAAAACAGCAGCATAAGCACCTTTGAAACGGTACAAGTCATCGTGGGTGAGAACGACCCATATAAATCCATAGGGAATTAATCTTGGCTTTGCTACTATCCTGCTGGGCATTTACAACAAGCTTCTACTCCCACACAGCAGAAGTAGTAATACTTTTTAAAAGGAGAGAGAAAATAAGAGAGCCGTATGTCCACCTAATAAGCTTGTTGGTTGGGGGGAAGGGGGTTGCATGGATCAGAAAGCAGTAGGTTTTCCTCCCCCTCCTCGGAGCTCTGGAATCCCCTTGAAGAGGCAGAGCTCAGCCTCAGTTGAACATGTGGGGTTCTTCTTCAGCTCGCCTTGCCTGCCTTCGCAGATCATGTGAAACCAATCTCCCTGAAGTGCAATCACAAGGAATGACTTCAGCTTCATAAATCATTGTTATCATCCCACAGGAGGAGGTAATGCTATGGTTTTTCTCCAGTAAAACATTTCAAGCCTCTGGTTTCATGAGCCTTTTTTTTTTTTTTTACTTTCTGAAATCAGCTTCGTGCCACTTGTACAATTAGCTTCAGGCTCCTGCGTACAGGAGATGGTGGCACTTCTCCAGTTTGCATAATATTTGAACATTTTACCCTCTCAGATTTCGAGGGAGATCTGTTTCCTACTGAATGCGTGCTTGTGTGTGTGGCTTGTCATATACACAGAGGCTTCACATTTGCTTCCAAGAATATACTGATCCTCAATATTTTTTGCATTAAGGGTATTTTCTTTATACTATATTTTTCAAATACAGAATAAGTAGTATATATTAGGTTTAAGCACAGGATAAAGAAATCTCAACTTACTTTGCAGTATTAGACACTATTTTAAAATGCACTGGTAGCCATGTAAAACATTTCTCTAAGGCGCAAAAATAGGAAGACTAAAGGGTGAAGCAATGGATGATTTCCAAGTTAAATCAAAAGATAAAAATCTGCCTTAATTCTATTTGGTAATATTTTAATAATCCTTCATAAACACTTCTTTCCTACAAGATCTCGTTTAGGAAGAACTGTCAAAAAATTATTCTGAAATGCTTTCATGAGTTTCTAGAAAATGTTTTGTTTGAATAGGTTCCATACTCACTTTGAAATAAAGGCTAATTTTTCAACAATTATTTTTAATAATTGTAAATTTAAATATAAATTCATTATAAAAGTATTCATTTAGAAGTTGACCTATACCTATACCTTTATGTTAAATAAAATGCAAGGGAAAAAATGAAAAAGCAAGAAAGGACATTACATTCAATATAATTTCAACTATATAACTAAAGCACAAATGAGTGTGTGATTATAAATATATACATTTATGAAATGAATCAGCATATTAATAGTGGCCATTGCTCAGAGAAAGTCTTATGCACTGCTTTTATTTTCTTATTTATATCTTTCTCAAATGTTCTACAATGAGGATTTATTACTTGTAAAATCTGGGGAAAATACAAAGGTTTGATAAAAAGCAGGGAAAAAGTGACCCACTGTAACATTCATTCTTATTGAATGTATTGTTAAATTGTTACCATATCAATGTGATTATTCAATGTTTGTACAAATTTTTCTTCAACAAAAGCTTTTTCTCTGAGGATGACAGTTATGATTGAAAGGTGACTCTGGAGGATTCCACCTGGAATTCTGATAAATTCACTGTCAGCACTTTCACCTTGACTTAGAAGCAGTGTGGTCACTTTAAAAACCAAGCCTCATTTCT
Source organism: Homo sapiens (assembly GCF_000001405.40). Lineage (NCBI taxonomy): Eukaryota > Metazoa > Chordata > Mammalia > Primates > Hominidae > Homo > Homo sapiens. Next base: position 2,336,121 of record NW_012132920.1, on the reverse strand, counting down.
TTATTTCCTTTTACTGGCTCTGATAATGATTGCTTCTGCTAATGGTTCATCTACTGGTGGAACAGATCAAATGTTCTTTAATGTGGAAAATATCTTCTGCAGCATCTTCTTTGGGAATCCCAGTTCTCTCAGCATTTTCTTTTCCTGCAAATATCACCCAAGAGACAGATTATGACCTTCATCACACCTAGATACTTGGTAACATCAGAGCTCTTGAAGTCATCGTGTTAATTCTTGGGTACCATTTCTAGTGGACCCGTTTTAAACCTCCAGCTATGACAAACCCTTGACCAAGTGAAATAAAAATGGGTTAAAAAGTAATTTGATGTTGTAAGCAATAGCCAATATTAGGGAAATTAGACTTTTGTCGGGTTCTGTGGCCATGTAAATTCAGTTTCCTAAGTACATTTAGCCTTTGCCAGGGTTTTAAAAGAAGATTGATTTAAGGATAGCAATGGCTATTTCATGATTATTTACAGGACGTTCTGGTAGTCTATTCATTTTTATGACTAAACATCTGAACAATTATTTTTCTAGAGGGAGAGCTTCAGCTATTTAACAAATGTGTTAAGCTACACAGATGTCAGAGGTTTCGTGTAAATAGATCTAGAACAAGAAATTTCCTTTGTCAAGGTATGATGCTGTATATTGTAAATCATGTATAAGTATGGCTTCTTTCTTCTCTTAGTTTTTCTTTAGTTAACGTCAGTCTTAAGCCATTAAAATCTCTGACCATGCCTAATAGCTTTTTATCTGAATTTTACTCTTTATAATGTGATTGAAACTATTCTTAATATTGGATGTCCTTCTGAACAATTTGTAAAAAATATGTAGAATGGTTACTTTATAGAGATTGTAGAATTTCATGTTGCCTGTGAGTATAAGGTGTGAATAAAGGACTTTAATGTGGGTGACTGCCCAATGAAATTTAACTTATCCGTGACAATGGTTGTTTTTCTGTTACGACTTATTTCTCTATTGTTCCACTGTAGTAATATGACAGTTTTACAGTTTTTCAGCAGGAACCTATAAAGAATCACAGTGTGGCCTAGTGAAAACTAGTCGGGAGTCAGGGGACAGCTTCTTTCTTTTTTGCCCAAAACTATTTGTATGACCTTAGGCAGGTCACTCGCTTTCAAAGTGCTCTGCAGCTGCCTCCAAACAGCATCTGTTGTTTCTTTTTCTGATTATATTAAATGAGCCCCTTTCTTCAAAAAGCAACTAAAAACAAATGAAAAACAAAAATCCTCTTAACCAGAGAGGCAGAAATAGCAACCATAATATTTTGGTATGTTACCTTCTGACTCTTTTATGGATTCAATATTTTGATAACTATATATATAATGTGTGTGATATACCTTTTGACGTAACTTTAGGCACATCATGCCACTGCTTTATATTCTTTATTTATAATTTTGTCATAGCATTTTCCCGTGATATTTTTTGCAAGCACGTTTTGTGGTATGTGGGTCTAGGAAGTGTGCTTTAATCCTTGGGAGCTTACTGTAGGGATACACGTATTACTAAGGAGAAACAGGGTGCTGAAATTCCCCAGAGAAGTTTCACAGGAACCCAAGAAAGGCTGCACAAGCAAATGTCACTGGATTACAAAGAATTATAGTGATGGTAGTCATTATCATAATCGGTATTTACTTAACTAATGTGCCAGGTGCCATGGCCGAGCACCTTACAAACATCTCTTTTAATTACTACAGCTGTCGAATGTAGGCTCTATCATTACTTTCATTTATAGATGAGAAAACTGAGTCTTAGCCACATTAAACAACTGACCCAGTGTCAATAGTTAGAAAGTAATGGAGCACTTGGAAGCTTCGGCTCCACTGTTAATCCACAGTGTAGAACCTAAGAATTTAGTATCATAGCACCTGGCATACTGAGTATTCAGTGAATGTTCATCACCATCATTACCACCACCACCACCAATCTGACTGTGCTAGGCCATTGTATTAGACTACTTTATAAGCATTAGGTTGACTGTCCTTGGATCTTAGTTGTAGCTATGGCTGGTGAAGGGAAGGGGACACACTCCAGTACGTGATTCCGTTATTGGAAAATCCACTATCTATTCAGTCTCCTATTATTGTTTAACTTAGCTTGTTTTTAAACTATAGCATGAGGGGTTTATATGAGGTAATTTCTTAAGTTTTGTATAGCTCCATAGTTTTCAAGTGTAAGGTTTCATTTTATCTAGTGTACATATGGACAAGTTAAAGTCTGAAGAATGAAGTATTGGCCCTAAATATCATAGATAATCATCAGAGGCAGTTATGGGAAACCCAAAGAAGCTAGTTGGAGAACTTTTTCTTCCATTAAAAAAAATTAACATGAGGTGCTTTCTTTCTTTAGATTTGCTGAATATCTAGTACTAAAATGCTATGAGGTTAAAAAAATGAGAGTTGCTTTTGAAGAACACTACTTTAAAGAAGAAATAAAAATAAACATGCAGGCCGGGCGCGATGGCTCACGCCTGTAATCCCAGCACTTTGGGAGGCTGAGGCGGGCAGATCACGAGGTCAGGAGATCGAGACCATCCTGGCTAACACGGGGAAACCCCATCTCTACTAAAAATACAAAAAATTAGCCGGGCGTGGTGGCGGGCACCTGTAGTCCCAGCTACTCGGGAGGCTGAGGCGGGAGAATGGGATGAACCCGGGAGGCGGAGCTTGCAGTGAGCCGAGATCGCACCACTGCACTCCAGTCTGGGCGACAGAGCGAGACTCTGTCTCAAAAATAATAATAATAATAATAAAATAAAATAAACATGCAGCCTATTACCACTTTGCTCATGAACCTGCTACAAATTCACACTTTTGTGGACATTCTCACCAATTAATAAAGCAACAAGTTACCGATTTATAAATACTAGGTTTATAGTCTCAAGTGCTAAGCATTTGAATACAAAGTTTGAAAGAAAAAGGCCGTAGTCCATGCCTTTCAGAAACTATACACCTTCAGACTAGTGCTAATGTTAAGATGAGACAGAGTTGTCTGGGAAAGAAGAGCTTCCTCCAAATTAGAATACCTGCAATTTATCACCAAATGGTTATCCAGAGCCTTGTGATTGTAAACCCCATTGCTTTTGAAATTTCACTAAGGTTCTTGATGAAACAAAATGCAAGAAGCCTTCTTTTAAAAATTTAGCTTCTTTGCAATTCCTAATATTTCCTAAATGGTGTCTGCTGTCTGAATGATGAGGCTATAGAGTTTAGTTTCCCTACATGACACCTGAAATACTTCTAAAGTATTGTATAAGGTCAGACCCTTCCCGTTGGAAATGAGATGGCTGGGAGACAAGGTAGACATTACAAGGAAACAGGATTTATGTATAATTATTTTTTAATTACAAGGAAATAGATTTATGTATAATTATCCCTTAAGTGAAAATTATATTTTATAAATATGCTTGTTTAGAAATATCTGTGAAAAATAACTAAGGAAAAGCATTTTACAAAAGACATCTGTCACTTCTATTAATGGTGATAAGTTAAAGACATATATGGGTCTAGAAGATGGTATAACTTGGAGAATTTCAGGCCCTGTTTGAGAATGTGACCACCTGACTCCCATTAATGTTAATGAGTCTCTCACCAGATCATTCTGAAATTGTACCCCCACGGTCTGTTTTAAAGCATCAAGAGTCAGGAAATTTAGCGTGAAAGCTGAAATTCCATCTTGGAACTTTCTCTCTGATGTATCTATTCCTATGGAAGATGTGTAGTACAGTGCAGCTTCAAAATACCACCTCGGTGTTTGGGAATCCTGGAGAAAAATGCTGCCCCTTGGGAAGCAGCAGGGAGCGTTGGAAAATGTAGATTATTAGTCACATTATTAGCCAAAATTATTAAATTATTAGTCAAAAGGCCTGGATTCTGTGACTATTAGTGTAATCCAAATAGTCGCTTCATCTACTTGGGTATCCATTTTCTCCACGTTGAGATTAAATAGTTGGGCTAAGTTATAGCAAGGTTAAGGTTATACTGTCTTATCAACTTCATCAAGGAATTGCATCTGTATCACTCGAAGCCAAGATGTTTCTGCATACAGGTAGTTGTGCAGCATTGAGGGACTTCACTGGACTACACAGAAGCAGAGGAACAAAAGTAGTAGAATATCAGCCACAAATCAAATGATTGCCTTTAAGAAGAATGAACAAAATCCTTCATAAAGTCTGAAGGCCAAGTGTTTTGTCAGTATTGTAAATGGTTGAAAGACTTACCTTGGGGCAAAGCATCTCATCTCTAGTGAAAATATATTGGGAAAAAAAAAGTGAGTTTACTTCTGAAAAAGTGTGGGTAAATATACTTCATTTAGATCCCAATTATACTTGTGTCCGATTACCTCCTAGAACTGTGACTTGATAAAATGTTTACTTTTGCAGTAGTTACTATTGATCACAGACTAGATGTATAATGTGGTTAAGTGTTTGAGATTATGGTCATCCCTCAGTATCCGTGGAGGATTGGTTCCAGGACCCTTATGGATATTAAACTCTACAGATGCTCAAGTCTCTCATATAGAATGGTGTCGTAATTGCTATAACCTACACCCATTCTTTAAATCATCTCTAGATTACTTATGATACCTAATACAATGTAAATGCTATATAACTAGTTGTTAGACTGTGTTGTTTAGGGAATGACAAGGAAAAAAAAAGCGTGTATATGTTCAGCACAGACACAACCATCCATTTTTTCCCCAAATGTTTTCAGTCTGCAGTTGGTGGAATCCATAACCCACAGATACAGAGGGCCAACTGTATATTGTGATCTCTGAAATTGTACCTGTCACCTATACAAATTATTATTACAGTCACCAGAGAATATAAATGAATACATGACACCTGAAATATTTCTATTGTAGAAGGTCTGACCCTTTCTATTGTATGCAAACAGCACTTTGTAATTCATGTTGTTATACCAATAAGATATTTTACGAATATCATCGTACTAGATTTAGAGATACAGGCTGAGAATCTCTAATCTGAAAATCCAAAATGCAAAATGCTCCAAAATCTGAAACTTTTTGAGCACTGACATGACATGAATAAACTGTCTGTTGCGCACCTGCGTTTTGACAAGACCCATCACTTGACTTTATGTGACGGTCTCGGCCAAAATGCAGGAGCACAATAGACAGTTTTTTCAGTGTCCTTGAGGGAAGAATAAAATTACCTTCAAGCTCTATGTATAAAGTATATATGAAACATAAATGAATTTCATCTTTAGACTTGGGTCCCATCCCCAATGTATTACATTATGTATATGCAAGTATCCCAAAATGTGGGGGACAAAAATTGAAATTGGAAACAATTCTGGCCTCAGGCATTTCAGATAAGGAGTACTCAGCCTGTATAAAAGTGTAAATGACTTAATATTATAAGTCACTTGTAAGTTTGATTGCCTCAGGACTCACATTTTCAACTATGTGTAAGGGAATTAAGTCGTACTGCCCTATCTCTGCCATTGTGTGTAATGAGTTGGCATTGTCCTAGACATTTAGAATGTTCCCGGTGATGTGTATATGGGGAAACTGAGAAAATAGCTTCTCAAATCCTTTTCTGTGTTCTGCAGTTCAGATGAAGGACCCTGGTTGAGAACAGCCCCAGGTGCCCAAGTTAGGTGATACCATTTCGTGGTTTTGTTTGTTTGTTTGTTTGTTTGTTTGTTTGTTTAGTGTCCATAAAATACTCCAATTCACTTAAGGGGCAACTAGAAATGGCAGATTAAAATGGTGAAAAAGGCTGGGTGTGGTGGCTCATGCTTGTAATCCCAGCACTTTTGAGAGGCTGAGGTGGGTGGATCACTTGAGGTCAGGAGTTTCAGACCAGCCTGGCCAACATGGCGAAACTACAAAAATTAGCCAGGCATGGTGGCATGTGCCTGTAATCCCAGCTACTCAGAAGGCTGAGGCAGGAGAATCGCTTGAACCCAGGAGGCGGAGGTTGCAGTGAGCCGAGATCGCACCACTGCACTCCAGCCTGAGTGACAGAGCGAGACTCCGTCTCAAAAAAAAAAAAAGCAAATAAAATGATGAAAAAGACAAGGTCTGCAAAGTCTGACTGGAAATAAGAGGATCCAGGATAGCACATCAGCCTGGGAGGTAGACTAGATGACCATTTGAAGACTCCTTTTAACTGGATTTTTTTTTTTTATTTTATGACTCTGAAGACCTCTTCAGAGTGTAGTGACACAATGTCCTTTACTTGGTACTTTCACCAAAAGCCTAGTTTCCTAGTCCACTTTAGCCTTAGGCAAGTGACCTGGAAATCCTACACCCTACACTAGGAACCTTGACAGCATGTCTTTATACAACCTCATAACACTTTACACAGAAAATCTCACAGGTGGCCCTCTACTCTTCAACTTTACCATCCAGCTTAGACACTTGCTCTGACAGACCAGAAATGATCACTCTTCTAATTTCACCACAACCAGGAAAACTAATAACTTAGGAAGACCAGCAAGGATATCGTCCTCCATGGGCAAGCATACCAGAAGGAAAAATGTAAGGGTAAGAACTCTGCATCACAAACTGGTTCCAAATATCTGTTGTTTTCTTCTCTCAAATGTTAAAAGGCCATCCCTTTCCGATGTCAGCGTGCTGTGCCTCTGTTGGTGTAAAGCATTTGTTTCTCCTGGAAAGTGCACAACGGGGATTTTCTAAGAAATGGAAAACGATTGCCACACTCACATCAGACGGATCCCACGTGAAGCAGAGCGCAGTCCCTTTGTTTCCTCGTTAGCATCACCCGGCTCCCATATTTGTAGAGCTGTAATAAAAACAACTTCTTAACTGTGCGTCCTGTTGGTTTATACCAACCATGTCAGGTCCATAAACCATGGTATATTAAAGTGTAATAGACTGTGTAAAGAATACTAGGAAGATACTCCAACCCTTATCCCTTCCCCTTATTTCACAATTTACTGCCTCCCAGATGGGCATCCATAAATAGGACTTAATTGCGTTTGGCATAAAAGCCCCACTTTCTTTAAAGAGTGGCCTCCTCCTTCAGCCACTCTCATTGTATGAATGCCACCCTCTTGAGAATAAAAACTTCGGTTATTTGGGTACATTTAAATGGTGAATGTTCTTAGTCTGAATATTTTATGGAAATATCATTTTATTTATAAAAACTTTCTCTTTTTCAAAGTTAACTGTGGAAAATAGTATATTTTAAAGACTCAATCTGATACAGACGAAACTGGAGGGTTAATGCTATTTGTGCCTCCCTATAGTGTTAGTGCTGTTTGTGCCTGTGTTAATGTATCAGTCTAAAAGCAGGACATAGGATGGGCATAGTAATCTCTTGCTTTTCAGTTCTACTCTACTCTTCACTATTTTGTTGCAAACAAAAGATGGAAGATTAGAAATTTCTGTGCCAAAAAACAGGCACTTAATGAGTAGGGACTGTGTTCTGCTAACATGGGTTCTTCTGTTGTGTACTTTTCCATCTGTCAAATAAGTACACAAGGCTGGGCACGGTGGCTCACGCCTGTAATCCCAGCACTTTGGGAGGCTGAGGCAGATGGATCACTTGAGGTCAGGAGTTTGAGACCAGCCTGGCCAACATGGTGAAACCCTGTCTCTACTAAAGATACAAAAATTAGCCAGCCATGGTGCGTGCCTATAATCCCAGCTACTTGGGAGGCTGAGGCTGGAGAATCACTTGAACCCGGGAGATGGAGGTTGCAGTGAGCTGAGATTGCATCACGGCACTCCAGCCTGGGTGAAAGAACAAGACCCTGTCTCAAAAGAAAAAAAAAAATAAGTATTTGAGTACCTGCTAGGTAATAGTTGAGAGAAAAACTCTGAAAACAGATTTTGGTTGCAACTCTGAAAGGAGCACAGAGTCCAGTGGGAAAAGCCAGCTGCAAGCCAGTGACCTTGACATAGCATTCTGTGTGCTGTGATAAGGAATTGTGGGGAGATAGTGTGTTTGGATCTCCACAGAAAGAACGGCTCACCACATTATGGGGGAGAGGCATGGAGGGCCCCTCAGAGGAGATTTTCAAGCTTGGTTTTCAAAGAAAGAGAAGACATTCAAACAGAAGGGTAGGAGAAGGGAGAAGGGCAAGGAAGAGAAGGCATTAGAAACAGAAGGAGCAAAGTGCCCAAAAATAAAGACACCATGCAGCAAGTTAAGTCCAGAGACCAGCCATGAGTCCCACGCAGCAGGAGCTCTGGGGATGATAGTATGGGGATGGCAGGAGGCAGGTGTGAGGGGCACACTGTGAACTGCAAATGCACTTTGTCTTCAGAGGGGGAACCAGTGAGAACATTAAGCAGAAAAGGGGCATAGTTCACTTTGCCTTCTAAAATGGCAGTTTTGGTGGCAACAAAGAGAATTGAATTTACTGTGCAATGAGGGGAACCTGTTACAGGTCACCATATAGAGCCTAGAGGTTAAGGAAGGAATCTTAGCTCTCAGAAAACTTAACCTCTCAAAAAAAGACTCCTGTATCATTGTCTTTTATTTGGTATTGGGGAAGTGATCCAGTTAATCAGGTCAAAGATTACAGAACTCCATGGTCATTAAGGGGAAAAAACAGGTGAGAGTAATCATTAAGTACCTCTCCCCTCACATCCACCCCCATGACTCCCAGTTATTTGTTAAATTATAAATAAGTTTTTCTCTTTCTCCTGAGGATGAAATAAAACAAAATGAGCTGAAACAGCAAATAAAATGACTTTAGGTCAGACATAGGGAACCACCCTTTTGTAGAAAAGCCTTTTACAGGCCATGCTAAGGACATCAGCTCAGTGAGTGAAATGAAAAAAAAAAAAACACTAAAGTTTTGAGCATAAATGATAACAACCAAAATTCTTGTCTACTGAAAGCAGTTATGAACATTCTAAAGAAAGCATGTTGTGTGCAATTTTGTGATAACCATGCCAAAAAGTCAGAAAGCTAGAGTAGTGACTACTAGCATTTGCTTCTAGCCAATAGACAATAAATGGCTGCCATTCTGGAATGCCCATCATATGTCAGTCACTAGATTAATCTCACACGTTCAGTATATCTCATAGTCACAAGCACTTTGCAAGGTAGATCTTATTATTCCCATTTTACGGATAAGGCTCAGTGGAGTTAAGTGATTTTCTGACGATCACCCAGTTAATAAGTATCAGAGCAGAAATTAAACCCAGGTCCACCTGGTGCAAAACCCAAGCTCTTTCCTCTATGCTACACTTCATTTAACTCTGGCAAAACAGCCAACCCACTGGAAGCTTGAACCCCCAGCAGCCATGGCATGACGTTGAACTGTCAAAGACCTGACTGCAAAGACTGGCTGCAACTATGTGGGAGGGTAGGTATCATCATCTCCATTTGACAGAGCAGGAGACTGAAACACAGGACACTGTGATTGGCTCATGACACTCAGGTGACACAGCTAGGGTTAAAGCTTGGCAGTTAGTTATCATGAGTTCTGATTTGCATTCCTTGGGCCCATAGCCATGGAATAGAAAGCCATTTCTGCTTCACTTGGTAGGCTGTGGAACTATGAACTTCAGAATTGTTCTTGTGGAGCAATTGTATGATATATAGTTCCCGTATTGAAAAGCTAGAACTAGAACGTTGGAACACCGGGATTCTTATACTTGGCCCACAGTGACCTTATTTGTTGATGGTATTAGAATTTGAGTTTGTGACTCCAGTCTTTAAACATGGTTCTTCCAGGTCATGTATTTGTGTTTTGCTTAGAGCATCTTGAAGACTTAAAATGTGTAATGGCCTGGTTTAAAATTTTACACATTCAAGTAGGAGAAATATTTCATGCTGTTAGAGCTTCCAAGTCACACCATAAAGGTAGATGCCTTTTGTATCTGTACAAGGGCAAAATTAGGGAACATTTAAATCTCTAATTTCTTCTCATTTTCCTGAAGGCCCTTTTCCCTAAACCCTCAGAGTTTTCTGCAGTGTGCATTGGCTCTTAATAATACCTCTTTTTACATTTAGACTCTGTTTCTCCAAATCACCATATTCACAGAGGTATTGCAAAATCTTACCTGATGCTCAATTCAGTTTGAATAGGGTATTTCTTGTCACTAAATTCATATACAGTTATGGCTTGGCCACACTCTGCTTAGCACACACAGCTTGGAAGTAGCCAGTTAGAAACCATCTGCTGAGAGAGCAGAGCTGGTCCAAGAAGATCACTCGGGCCTCAGAGGAATTTTTCCTCCTGTTTGGCTATGCACATAACTTAAAATCACTGGAGAAGAACAGATCACTAGTTTGTTTCACATTTTGGGGAACTTGATAACCTAGGAGAGACACAGGTCATTTCTCAGTATCTGATTGGCTAAGTACCAGACTAATTCACAGAAATTCCTGCCAAGAGTATGGGGGGACATCAGACAGCAAAAGATGGCCCTGGCCATGGCTTCCGTCTGCCTAAAATGATGCACTTATGAAAGCTGAATCATTTTAATATAAAACAAAATAAGTTTTACTAGTTGAAATATACTACATTTAGAGATAATGGTATACAACATTAGCCTCTCAATCTTCTTTAGCTTATGTTCATATTCTAAATATAAAGTTTTTTCAGGAAAGCCAGTATATCTCTTTTTAAGCAAGCTTTATCCAATATATGCATTTTTAAGCTAAAATGATTGCTTTAACATATAGCCAGTTTTCTACAATTAAGGCTACAGCAGAAAGCAAGCCAGGTGAAGCTGCTGCCCTCCTAGAGCTTACATTCAGTTGTTGCATGATAAACACATGAGGAAAGGAATAGTCTGTTAGGTAGATAGAGGCTGTGGGAAGGCTATGGAAGGAAGGTAGGGGTAGAGGGTGTGTGTGGAGGGGTAGTAGGAAGATGATGAGTGGCAAGGGATGGTCTTTTATTTACGGAAGCTGGAGAAGGAGATACTTCTGCTGAGACCTCAATGCAGTGAGGGAGCCCATCGTGCAGACTGTGGTCAGGGTGTCCCAGAGAGGAGGAACAGCAAGTGCAAAGATCCTCCAATGTGCACGCTCAGTGCGCTCAAGCCAGAGGCAGCTGCCAGCGAAGCTGGAAAGGAAGGGGTGTGGGAAAGAGGAGGTAATGCCACCAAACAGCCAGGGAGCCGACTTAAGTGCAGGGCCTTCTAGAGCATTTTGAAGACTGTAGATACTATGTCAAGGCTGATGGCAAGACAAGCCATTGGAAGGTTTTGAGCAGGGGAGCCTTTACATTTTAAAATCAATGAGGAAGATTATGGTAATGTAGTATTAATACCTGCCATGGCCTATATTGAGCACACATTATGTGCTAAGCACTCTGCATGTATTATCTCATTAAATCTTTACAGCAGCTGTATGATAATGGTCACTATGGCTGTTCTCATGGGACAGATGAGGCAATAACTAAGCATTTGGTCTTAACTAACTTGCCAAAGTCATACAGATAGTAAGTGGTAGGGCCAGGTTTAATAAAAGGGTGATGTTTCAAAATCCCTTATCTTTCATGAAGTATCACAGCATAGATCCTAGATACGAGACTTACTTATTTTCGTTCATTTTACATCATTGTAGCCCTAAATTAAAGGAATCTGAAGGCTTATGTTACATAATAACATGTTACATAATAACATAACAACTTATGTTGTAGCTTATGTTAACAACTTTCCTATTTTTCTGGATATTTTAAAGTGTGAGAGTGGTATTTTCATATATAATAATATATCTTCTGATTGTAGAGAAGGATATATAAAAGAACCACCCCAAAATGAAACCTCTTGATAATCCTATAGAAAGAACATAGGTTCTTAACCTGTGGATTCAGAATTGTATCTTAGTATCACTGATTTTCTTAGTAACCTTATGAAAACATTATTCTGACAAGAGTCCATGGGCTTCCCTAGACTGCCAAAAGGGCCTGTGGGTGTGGAGGCAGTATGCGGCAAGATTCCCATGACTCTGAGCAGCACTGCTGCAAATGCTACTGGATTTATAATGTTTAGAGTAAGGGGGAACATGATGAGACGTGCAAGAGGGACCACATGTCGTGATCTACCCAAGATTTCCCTAATTTATGTCTTTGCCTAGGTGTAATTATTAACATTACTCTCAAAAGTATCCCAGAGGAAACAATAAATTATTTGGCCACTATTAGCTATGTCTGTTATCAAGACTTCATGACTAAAACACCAAAAGCAATGGCAACAAAAGCCAAAATAGATAAATGGGATCTAATTAAACTAAAGAGCTTCTGCACAGCAGAAGAAACTGTCATCAGAGTGAACAGGCAACCTACAGAATGGGAGAAAATTTTTGCAATCTACCCATCTGACAAAGGGCTAATATCCAGAATCCACAAAGAAAAACAAATTTACAAGAAAAAAACAACCCCATCGAAAAGTGGGCAAAGGATATGAACAGACACTTCTCAAAAGAAGACATTTATGCAGCCAATAGACACATGAAAAAATGCTCATCATCACTGGTCATCAGAGAAATGCAAATCAAAACCACAATGACACACCATCTCACTCCAGTTAGAATGGCGATCACTAAAAAGTCAGGAAACAACAGATGCTGGAGAAGGTGTGGAGAAATAGGAACGCTTTTACACTGTTGGGAGTGTAAATTAGTTCAACCATTGTGGAAGACAGTGTGGTGATTCCTCAAGGATCTAGAACTAGAAATACCATTTGACCCAGTGATCCCATTACTGGATATATACCCAAAGGATTATAAATCATGCTACTATAAAGATATATGCACATGTATATTTATTGTGGCACTATTCACAATAGCAAAGACTTGGAACCAAGCCAAATGTCCATCAATGAGAGACTGGATTAAGAAAATGTGGCACATATACACCATGGAATACTATGCAGTCATAAAAAAGGGTAAGTTCATGCCCTTTGCAGGGACACGGATGAAGCCAGAAACTATCATTCTCAGCAAACTATCACAAGGACAGAAAACCAAACACTGCATGTTCTCACTCATAGGTGGGAGTTGAACAGTGAGAACAGATGGACACAGGGTGGGGAACATCACACACTGGGGCCTGTTGGGGGGTGGGGGGCTGGGGGAGGGATAGTATTAGAAATACCTAATGTAAATGACGAGTCGATGGGTGCAGCAAACCAACATGGCACATGTATACATATGTAACAAACCTGCACGTAGTGCACATGTACCCTAGAACTTAGTATAATTTAAAAAAAAAAAAAGCAGTGGTAGCAAATAAAGCAAATTGAGTGTTATTGCCAGGACATGTGTTACAGGCTACCCCCCCCCCCCCCCCCCGAATTCAGACCTCCTGTGGTAATGAATGGGTGTAATTGAAGCTGTAAGATTACGCAAAGGAGACAACAGAAGAAAAAATTTTTAATCATGATTTATCTTTTACAGCCAAAAAAGAGCATAAGATGGAAGAAAGTCACTTGGAGAATGCACAGAAAAGGTAAGCAGCTCTGATTTGGCCCCAGTTCTTTCTTTGACTAGCCATTCTTTTGTATTATTATTATGAAGTGCATTCATTTTGCTATGCAGTTCTATCTCCAAAACATTTTTACTTCCCCAACTGAAACTTTATACCCTTTAAACACAAATTCCCCATTCCCCACTCCCCTGTCCCTAGGCAACCACCGTTCTACTTTCTGTCTCTGTGACTTCGACTACTTTAGCTACCTCATGCAATTGGGGTCATCCAGTATTTGTCCTTGTGTGACTGACTTCTTTCCTGTAGCATAAGGTTTGACTAGCCCTACTTTCGGCCCCATGTGTTAAGACTATGCATCCATAAGCAATAAGCTTCACTTGGAAGCTGGAGTGAAAGCACTGTAGCAGGACTTAGGAATATTTTTCCTCAGGAAGTGAGGAATCATCCAGAAGTGACTCACCTGCCTCACATGCGTGTCATGACACTATTCTGCCTGTTTGCCTGTCCTGCATTGCTCTGCTCCTGAACCGCTTGATGGAAGTCAGGGACAGTTTGATCCTTCCTGGCATTACAACTAGATCAAACTAATTATTGCAGACACCCAAGAGACTTATTATGTCTTTCCTCAGCTTCTAGAGGAGGATATTATAAACAAGGGGCAGGTAGGGAGAAGGGGCTGTCCATATGTTCAGGTGGGGAGAAGGGGCTGTCCATATGCCCATACAGCGTATGGACAATTTCCCCCAGAAGTTGGGGAACACCTCAGAGATCTTCTGTTCAGATTCATGTCACCCACTTCAGGCATCTTCTTGCTCGCTCACTCTCTCAATAGATATCACATGGGAACCATTCACTCCACCCAGTGGAACCTAATCATCAGCAGTTCTCATCCCTTAGGGCTTTTTCCTTTTTGTTAGTTGACCAGGTTAGTCAGTGTGGCTCTCCCTCCCTCATAGAAGAGTGAGTGGCAATAGACAGCGGTATTCTCATATTTAGGGCTGAAATTTGAGATACATTTTGCTGGTACGAATTCTAAAAGTACTGGTAAATTAGATGACAGGTAGAGGTAGGAGACAGCATCTAAGGACAAATGAGCTTTACAAATGTGTGAGAGGAACAGTTACCCAGTTAGGAATTTAAATGCAAATAAACAGATTGTAGAAATTAACCATTTTCCTCCTGTCTAGCCACAATTTCCGAGACTTCTGAAATCCCATAGACGGTGCCATCTGCCCTGCTTTCACAGGTGCCAACATCTTGCCCTGCTTCCCACTGTAATTACCAATAAGATTAAAATGCTGGTGAAAGCAAGGTGAAGGCAAGTCTTGCACTTTGCTAAGTACAGACATATTCTCAAATCGTGCTTATCATCCTATCATAATAATCATTCAAAACTGAGATAATTCCATGGCTATGTTTTTAGGAGTTTGTGTCTCTCTATTGACCTTATTCCTATGTTAAGCTTCCCTTCACAATGCATAAAACTAGCACGTCTGTGTTATAGAAACATCCAGCACATAAGAGATTATCAACAAGGGCACGTTGGTGTCAGGCCAAACAGAAATTCAGCTTCTGGGGCGGATGTCAAATTTCTAATACTTTTTCAGGATTCTTGCTGAAGGAAAAGGGGGCCCAGCGTGGAGGGGCCGAAACTGCTGCCGTGCATTAGCTCTGTGGAGGGGAGTCATAAATTCTGGTTGTCAGCGTTTTCCGTGGCTTTGTGGTGAAGGTAGTCTAGCTTTCATGTCATACATGAAATATGTTAGATCCCATCTTTAATGTAGAAACCACAGTTGTTTGGTTATACTCTTTAAGGAGGTTGTGGTCAGTGTTGCAATATTTGTGTGAGATTAGTGAATTCTTATGTTTTATTCTCAAGAGAAACAATTTACTCTGAGGCTAAGGCATATTTGCTTTTCCTAAGCAGTTTCTGAAGGCATGCATGTAAGACAATAAGTGGATGTGTTCCGCTCTGGATCTCAGGACTGTAAAAGTAAAACAGTTCACTTCGCTACAGGCTCTTTGATGTAATCATTGTCTGTACTTTAAAAATGTTTGGCTGAATTAAAAAGATACAAATCAGACAGGGAATTATAGCAGAGAGAAAAGGGGTCAGGGACTAGTTTGCATGAAATGAAAAAGTTATATAAAACCAAACATAGGATTAGAAATCAATCTTCTAAAATTTGAGAGCCATTTTAGAGCTATCTGCTAACAAATAGAAATTTCAAATCGCATGATTGACCTTTGTTTCCTGTATATTAGAGAAAATTCTCCTGGTTGTTAAATATCAACAATTTTCTTGTCCAAATTGCAAAAGATTTTCAGTGGTCAATCTCTGTGAATCAAAACTGAATTTAAAATGGAGTTTTGTCTAGGAAAGACAACAGTCTAGGCCTTATCAAACCATTGCAGGTTCATATTCTAGCTTTTAGCATTTTCTTAAACAGTGGAATAACAATGAAATCAAATAAGGCACACTGGTTTTGTTTGTTTGTTTGTTTTTTGAGACGGAGTCTCATTCTGTCGCCCAGGCTGGATTGCAGTGGCGCAGTCTGGGCTCACTGCAAGCTCTGCCTCCCAGGTTCACGCCATTCTCCTGCCTCAGCTTCCTGAGTGGCTGGGCCTGCAGGTGCCTACCACCACGCCTGAATAATTTTTTTTTGTTTGTTTGTTTTTGTTTTTTTGTTTTTGTTTTTAGTAGAGATGGGGTTTCAGCATGTTAGCCAGGATGGTCTCGATCTCCTGACCTCGTGATGCACCCGCCTCGGCCTCCCAAAGTGCTAGGATTACAGGCGTGAGCCACTGTGCCCGGCCAAATAAGGCACATTCTTGAAGCGACTTTATCTTTGTCTAAGCTGCTGAGTGCCAAAGCCAGGCCATCCTCTGGGAGTCTGTGTACTTTGGTTCTTCTGAAGAGGTTCACTTGCTTTCTTAGTTTCCAAAACACATAAGAAAAAAAAGGCTGAAATTTAGTATTTTTTTTAGTGTTTCTCCCCCTTTCAGGGAGAGTAAGCAAGCAGTACCTCACAAATCCCCAGGGAGAGAGGCAAGGAGGGCAATGGTTAGCTTCAGTTTAGAGTTGGGAAAATCGAGGCCCACAGGAGGATGATGTGTTTTTCTCAGGCTGTGCAACAACCACCAAATCACTCTTGACATTCTCTGAAACTGCACCAGGATTTGCAATATGTTGATCTCACAATCTAGACTCCAGGTGATGCCAGAGGTGTCAGGTGTTCCATGAAGCACAATAACTGGACTTCACTATATTTTGCTGGAAAATCAGAAGATAAGTTGTCCCTCTAAATACTAGAAATGAAAGACTTTCCCTTCCCCATGAATGCTCAAATAAATATGTATCTGTATAGAAGGTAAGCATAAGAAAGAGAAAAAATAATCACATGCCCTCCCTGGGGTAATGCATGTTATGTGTGATACAGAGGAGGACACCTGTGTCTAAAGTAGAAAAGGGTGGGGTAGAACGACTATTTTGTCTCTTAAATGCCTGTGTTATTGAGCATGAGCAACAGAAAGATAAAGCAGACAGAGCATTTCACAGAAAATCAGGGGACCTGAATTCCAGGCCCAACCCTACCAGGGAATAATGCCACACAGTCTTTCCAGGTCTCTGTTTTGTCACCTATAAAATGATAATTTGGGCAAGTCATCCTGTAAATTCCTTCCCATTCTAAAGTCCTGTGACTTTGTAGGAAATGAATGGCCTGTTCCTATAGGTTATATAACTCTCTACTTATGTATTCCCATGCTATAGTCAAAATAATTTTCATTTGAGTGAAATAAAGTTACATGCTATAGAGTGTACATTTGGTTTTACCAGTGTTTGGACTGCCATGGAAATAAGGGTTATGTCTGGGGCAAGAGTGGACATTGCCACATTCTTCCCTTCCCGGTTTTTCTCAACATTATGTATGTTTGGAATTATAATAGAGTCCCTTAAGAGATTACTGCAGTTATTGCCTTTCTCCACTTACACATTTCCAGTCTTTTAATAACTGGGAGCCAAAATTCCCTGACCAGTAGTTTTAATTTGCATTAAAAACAGATTTATTCTTTACAGAAGCACAAAGAATTTATGGGACTCAGAGCTGCAGCTCCAGCTTGGATCTCGCCTAATCGTACCCATGGAATCAATTAACAGTTCATCTGTGAAATGTGATAAAATCTTATGAGATACATATTGCCCAATAACCGAGAATGAGATGAAAGTATGCTCCATAATAGTAACGGAGCTTCAGGGTTTTACAATCGCCATTGAATAGAGTTCCATTAGAAAATCAGTATTCAGGATGGCCACACACAAAAAAAAAACCACTGTGTCTGAACAGATGATAGAGCATTGAGTAATAAACCTGGCCAGCCATTCCTGCTTTGATTAGTTTCCAACACCCTAGAAAAGGGGGTCATTTATTTAAGTGTTCTTGCTCATGGCAAATGAGCTTGTGAGGCTTGGGGTAGGTGGGGGTGAGGGGGAAAGATTGAGTTCAAAGCTGTAAATTGCTGCAAAGCTAGTGCCTCCAAGAAGGGCTGCTTGGGAGGCCCAGGTAGTCTGGTGTGCAGTGAGCCTTGCTGGGATAGGTCTTACTGATATCTGGGAATCCACTCTGGAAAATTGGGATTCTTTACTGACCAGACTGGAGATCATTTTTCCAAGATCAGAAATGGTTTTTCATCCAAAACTTGCTATGCCTACAACTGTATCTGTTTTTGTACATCAGTGGTTTGTATTCTTGTATCATATTAAGCTTTAAAAGGTAGCCCTCCTGAAGATCATATCATCTACATCTCTTATTTTACCCTTGAGAAAATTGAGAGTCAAAGATGCTGAGTGATTGACCCAAGATTACAAAGCCAGTATATGCCCGAAAAAGGATAGAATGGATTTTCTTGCTTTTTTGTGAAACATTTGACAGATTAATTATTCCCAATGAGCTATCGAACTGACCGCTGCTAATGCTGCAGTCAGTGTGTCATCCACCTTGCATGTAATCACTAAACATAAAATGAAGAGCAGGGAAGAGACGGGGATTTGAGATGAAGAACAAACTCGAGACGTTTTACCTACACACCCCCAGAAATTATACATGCTGATTTTATACAGATAAGATGTGCCCAGGAGCATCCCAATCAAGTTCCATTTTTTGGCAAATCAGTTTGAGCAAATAGATTTTCTGAGGTTTACAATAAACTTCAGTAACTATGAGCCCCCAGCTTCTGTGTTACAAAATAAACACAAGAGAAACTGCCCCCAGCATCCCCCCTCTAATGGATTTTAGTGTTGGCAATTTCTCACCTCTACCTCATTCCATTTTCCCCCCTACCTGTTGCAGTTTTGAAACAACAGTACGATATTTTGGGATGAAGCCAAAGTCTGGTGAGAAGGAGATCACACCCAGCTACGTGTTTATGGTGTGGTATGAGTTCTGCAGTGACTTCAAGACAATTTGGAAACGGGAGAGTAAAAACATATCTAAAGAAAGGTAAGGTTCAAAAAAAGATTTTAATGCCTCCTTCAGGAGCCTAGGAAACTGCACTCTTAAACCTATCAAAGTGTGTCTATTTCACACCTGTCGATGTTTTCTTTCGGATGAAGTGGTCATAGGGGAAGGACTTTTTGCCTCAGGGATCGTAGGGAAATTCGGGGAAAGCTTGCTGTCCACACAGGCAGATATGCTCACATGATCTGATAAGTTACACTTTCTTAACCCCTTCCAATTACTAGCTAGTAAATGAAAGGAGGGTTGTGCTAATTTGCAACAGATTGCTTCTCTGTGTATTTTCATGTTGGCCCAGGCTAAATGAGGCAGCCTTGCTGTCGCAGACAGTATAGACAAATAAAAGTGAATGCTTTTCCCATTAATATACTGAACTTGCATCAAAGGAAAATCTCTGTGACTCAGGCCACACTTCACACAGCGTGGAAGCCCCGCATTGGATTTACAGCGCCACTTCTGACTCCCTGTATCCTGCTGCGGACATCAAACTGCGTGCCGCTCAGCCTCGTTGCAGCCCCCGATTTTATTAGCTGGGGGTAGAAGAAAAACCTCAACTCTGAATATAGACGGGGTGTGTGTGTGTGTGTGTGTGTGTGTGTGTGTGTGTGTGCGTTTTCCTTAGAGAGATTGAATTTGCCCCTATTTATCAGAAAAAAGCATTTCTGCCTGATCATTTTTGTGATTGGGTTGCCACTGTTATGGAAGGGGTGTCATGGATTTAAATTTCAAACAGGTCTTACTACTACTCCTGTGGAACAGATGTATAAGAATGGCATTCAAAACAGAGTGGAAGGAGACAAAAAATTCCTCAGCGTAAGGAAAATGATATATTTCATTATAGCATCTACCTTTTACTAACCTGTGAGGCCTGACATTCCATAATTCAGTATTTTTATTCTTCACTTTGTAATCAAAGAAAAGATATATACATAATATATTTCTAGACACATCACAACCTACCCTAATATATTTCACCTTAAAACACTAGTAAGAGGAGCAAAATTGTGAGATTTTTGACCTAGTATTAGTCTCTAAGTATTTTCTCAGGGAGCTAAAAAAAGAGAAAGGCCTTCTTTCTTTCCAAGGAAGTTAAAGATGTGTTTATCAACACATCTTCCCATCAGTACTTCTTTGGGAACATGGGAATTAAACTGAATATATCCATTATATAGATAAAACTGAAGCAGAGAAAAGTACCATTGTTGAGAAAATAGGTCGTTGATAATAACATGAAAAAAAATCCTAAAAATCTTGGCACCCAACCCATAGTTCTTGCCCTGCCATCACTTATTTAGCCCTTTAAAGTAAGCTAAAATAAGTTTCTGTGGAATCAATTCTCATACGAAAATACTATTCTTAAAACAGCATAGGAGCTGGCCAGTCTGCCCTCCAGGTCCATACACCTTGAGGCTGGGACATCCCACAGTGGGCCTGGAATGTACAGCTTTTGCTTAAGAATTTTTACACCTCAGATTTTGAGCACAGTCCTTAGTATATTTGTCCTTGGGGCCCTAAAAATGGTCTAAAACAAACAAAAGACCAACAGAGAAGGCAATTAATTGCTTTATATGTTAATGATCTTCTGTTGAAATAACTGTATTCCACATTAAAGAGTGTTCTGTATCATAGAAGTTAGATCAAAGAAATTGTGAGTCTGTCATAGAGGTGGTATCCAGAAGTCCTTCAAAATGACAGTATCTCTGATTCCCAGCCACGGGCGTTTGTGGCATTGCTTCCTGGGTGCAGCTGTTGAATTGCCTGCTTCACACTCTGTAAACCAACCCCTTTACAGGGTCATGACCTCACAAGACCCTTTTTGGTTCTTCTCATTTCGCAGTTTCAGGGGACCCTTCATTCCAGCCATGCTCTGTGAGGATGGATCACCAAGGTTTCTACCCTAAAACAACATCTCTGAAAGTTGATGATGGCTAATAAGATATTTCTGGAGGCAGCAGCATGGTTAGGAAAATCTGTGTGTTAAGAAATATTAGCACATTATGTATATTACTCCTCAACCATTTAAACAAACTGCTTGATATCCAGGGTTTTCTTAAAATCCTAAAGTGAGAACTTTGTTAAAGTGTTCTCTGTCTGCTAAAGATTTTAGCTTCTTTCCTGTTAGAATCACACATTCATTATGGTAAAATAAGCAAATTAACTGGAATTTTTCTATTAAATGAGGAACACTATAATTGCTTTGTTTTGACATCTATTTAATGATATTTGATATTATAGTTTCAATTATACTTTCCCCAGAAACCGAATATATCCCAACAACACTAAACATCAGGAGACAACATAACATCATTAACAAGGGCATCCTAAAAAATAAAATTCATAACCAAAATAAAAACCTGATGATGTGTAATTATAAAGAAAAAAACTAGTTTGGGATCTCATCAGAAAAATTCAACTCACTTAATTTTTAAATATATTGGAAGGCCAACTAAGTGCTCAAAATCATTGGAAAAATTAAGAATCAGTACTAGCATTTTCAAAGGGACAGGTTTCATGGAAAACACTGTTTTGTTTAAATTCTACTTCCAAATGAAATGGAAGTGTTGAAAACTACTTAGGCCACTGGAGGTTAATTTTAGGTGGTGGTGAATATTTACTTTTCCTGCTTAGGTAGTTTTCATGAGTACACATTAGTTTGATACAAAATTGAGATGAATGCATCTTCATAACAAGATAACAGCTTCCCCTCATAAAATCCAGAATAATCTGTAACATACAAATGACCACATAAAAATGTCCTAAGTTCTTGTGCCTTGTGAGTGAACAATAATCTTATTAAACTGGTGTCAGGGCACAACTCTGTGGTTCGGCAGAAGGAACAATATTTCACTGGGGAATATGGTTTACCTGGAGATTAACTATATCTTTGGAAGAGTAATCTACTGTGTCGTGGTATATTAATGGCTTTCAATTTTCCTTGGCATTCAAGCCAATCTTAAGCAAAAGAGCAAACTTCTGAGCCCAGGCACAAATCCAAAAGCGCCACTTTCTAGACGTGCAGTCTGTGACCCACTCAGTCATCGTGCTGCCCCTGGTATCAGGACTCATCTTTCAGTGAAGCATCCCAGTCCCTTCTCTTATCCCTTCTGAATATGTGCAGTGCTGAGCAGTGTAAAAAAAGACCTGGAGACAGAGAGCTGAAAACAGGCATTTTTACCCTTCACCCTGCCACCCCCCCACCCCCATTAATTGGCTATGTGATCTTGGGCCAGTCACTTATTCACTGGGAACCCGATTGTCACATCTGTAAAATGTATGTATCAGGATGAAGCAGGAATTAAATGGTGACTATGAGCTCTTCTAGCTCAAAATCTCTATGAATCTAGAAACTGCGGTTCTAATTTTCTGAGGAGCTGTGTGTTTCCCTTCTGCCATAGTGCCCCTCACCTTTGCTCTTGAGCTATAGGTACTATATTGGAAGATATTTCAAGCAAGGACTTGCAGGTGAGTTGGGAGAGAGATTAGGTGCCAGAAAGAATTTTCATTGCCCTCTTGAAATCGGTAAACATCTATAGCTACCTTGCCTCACCTGAACCCCCAGTTCTTCTCATAAAATACTAATGTTGGCCTTTGTTTTGTTTTCTTTTGAGTCATTCAGGCTAGAGTGCCATGACGCAATCATAGCTTACTGCAGCCTTGACCTCCTGGGCTCAAGCAATCCTCCTGCCTTAGCCTACTGAGTAGCTGGGACTACAGGTGTGCATCACCATACCTAGCTAATTTTATTTTTTTATTTTTGTAGAGACGGTGTCTCACTATGTTGCCCAGGCTGGTCTCAAACTCCTGGGCTCAAACAATCCTCCTGCCTTGGCCTCCCAAAGTGCTGGGATTACAGGCATGAGCCACCACGCCTGATCCTAATGTTGTTCTTGAAGATCACGTTTTTTTATGGAGCATGTACACAAAACGTTTTTTTCTCTGCTCATCTGTATCCAACATTGCATTTACGATGTATCATAATCCAAGGTTTATTTTATCCTCAGAAGCAACTTTGCCTCACTTTTACCTTTTAATGCACTTTTGTATTTGTACCTCATGATATCCAAACATTCAATGAATTTTTGGTACACATGTTTCTTCCACCTGTTAAATCAATAGATTATCCAAGTATATGCATAACTGCAAGTAGGTAACCTAATTTTTGCTGATACCTTTATTGGCTATTCTTTACTCTTTTTTATTTTTTATTTTTTATTTTTTTTGGCTGCTGAATTATTCTGGGTGATAGGACCCTTACTTACAAAACATTCCACCATTTAGGATATCCTAAGACTGCCCCCACATATGCCCGCGCATGCACACGAAGCACTGCCTCCCACAAAATGAGCTTTGAATTTGCAAAAGGTACAGAAGGCCTACGGGAGTCATGACTCCAGGAATAAAGTCTGGGCATATAATTCACCCTGAGCCAAAGCAAACTTTAAAAGTGCCATTTAAAAACCCCATAATGGGTAAGTAATGAGTGAATTAGAAGTTTGGTGAATTTTATGTGAAATGAAAATAAGAAATTTCACTACACACATAGCTATAATTTACACCATAGGGGAATGGATAGTTATCTTGTTTTTTTCTTTTGGGGGCGAGGGGGCTGTTTTTTTTATTACCCAGCCACCTACCAATAGGGTTTTTGTTTTAAGTCTATTACTTGCTGCTGTTATGGGTGATTATGGAACTGCTGTACCCTTTACAGAAGATAGTTCAAAGCTGTTGTGAGGCTATCCTGAAAGCTGTTCTCAGAGCTCCCTACTGCTCAGGTCACTTTAGGACCAAGAGCTGGGGACTTAGAGATGCTGTCACTCAATCCACAAGCCACTGACTGCAGTGTAGACACTACAGGAATTCTTTTCTTTACATGATAAACTTACTCCTAGAAAAAGCTCCATAAATAAAATTGTTATTTATTGAATTCTGCTTTCCTACTGACATACATACATGATAATTTCAGTAACTTGTAACATGTTAACTTTCTTTTCCTTGCCCTGTGTTATGTAGTTAAATGACTTGTATTCATTTAACCACTAAAGAGCTGCTTATTTTTAAAAATCCCTTAATAATACAATCACCCCCTAATTAATTGTCAAAACTTTGAATTTTCCTAAATCACATTTGAAAATGGTTCTGTGCAAATACACAAACAGTAAATGCCCCAAGACCTAACTGATAAACAACATTGTCATAATCACAAAGAACAGCCGGGCGTAGTGGCTCATGCCTGTAATCCCAGCACTTTGGGAGGCGGAGGTGGGTGGATGACCTGAGGTCAGGCGTTCAAGATCAGCCTGGCCAACATGGTGAAACCTCATCTCTACTAAAAAATACAAAACTTGGCTGGGTGTGGTGGTGCACACCTGTAATCCCAGCTACTCGGGAGGCTGAGGCAGGAAAATTACTTAAGCCTGGGAGGCGAAGGTTGCAGTGAGCCGAGATCGCGCCACTGCACTCCAGCCTGGGCAACAGAGTGAGACTGTCTTTAAAAAAAAAAGAAAAGAAAAAAAGAAATCACAAATAATAAAAACTGCTTATTCCCCAAGCAATAAATTTAAAACTACATCTGCAAAATTAAAAATATGCCATGAATAAGGAGAGAGGATAAACTAAAAAACTGTAAGAATTATAGGATCATTGGTTTAAAAAACTATACACACCTCTTGGCCCTCTCTCTGAAAGCATCATTCCGTCTCCTTTTCCCTTCTAACTTCTTTTAAAAGAATGATTTACGTTCATTTCCTTATTTCCTTTTTCGTACCACACACTCCTTCCTGTCTCAGTAAGGATAACGTCTTGGCTGCCATAACAGAGGCCAAAATAACTGTTGCTTAAACAAAGGAAAAATCAATTTTCCTCATGTATAACAATCTGAATGCAAGGAGTTTGGATGTCAGGAACCCAGTTTTCTTCTCTTTTGTGGTTGCCGTCCTTAAGGTAAGGTCCTTATTCCCAACGTGTAAGGGGGCACACGTCAGGTCTACTGCTACCATTGCTGCTGAGTTCCTGCCAGTGGGAAGGGGACTGCACAACCTTTCCTTTTAATATTAAATAGCATGAGCTGGAAGGTGCACACATCACTTCCACTTTATCCCATTGGACAGAACTTAGTCTCATGGCCATACACAAGGGAGACCAGGAAATGTAGGCTTAGCTGGGAGCCATGTCCCTGCTAAAGACTCATGGTTTCCTTTACTAAAGGAAGCAGGAGAACTGCATATTGAGATTGTTACTAGACTGTGTCACATTTCCTAACTGAAATCAGATGACTCCTTCTAACTAATTCTTTGCCACTGCTAGTTTTTTTGGGTTTTTTTTGTTTGTTTGTTTTATTTTGTTTTGAGACAGAGTCTTGCTCTGTCGCCCAGGCTGGAGTGCAGTGGCGCGATTTCGGCTCACTACAAGCTCCACCTTCCGGGTTCATGCCATTCTCCTGCCTCAGCCTCCCAAGTAGCTGGGACTACAGGCGTCTGCCACCACGCCCGGCTAATTTTTTTTTTTTTTTTTTTTGGTAGAGACTGGGTTTCACTGTGTTAGCCAGGATGGTCTCAATCTCCTGACCTCGTGATCTGCCCGCCTCGGCCTCCCAAAGTGTGCCACTGCTAGTTTTTGACACCAATGGTAGTTTCCTCCATCTCGAAATGCCTCGTTGCTCTGATAATATATTGGGTCTCTCTGCGAAGGTGACTACTCCCCTTCTTCATCTCCCTCCTTAGTTCCTCTGTTTCTTCTGTTCCTTAAGTGTGGGCCTTCCCCAAGGTAAATCTCAGTGTTCCTCTTTTCTGCTCTATTCTCTGTTTTGTTAGTCCCAACTATTTTCACAGCTTCACCTATCACCTCATTGCCAAGGCCTCCCAAGTTTTAGACCTACATTTCCTACTGCACATTAAACTGTATACCCAGCCTTCATCTGCAATTCAATATGTCTCGGTTGGAAATTATTCCATCTCAACTAAGGCCTATTCCTCTTAGGCTCCCTAACTTTCAATTGCAACACTATCCTCCTCCTATTAGCAAAAGGCAGGCTGGAATGAGAATTATTTTTACTGCTACAAGATTTATTTTTCATCTATTTCTGACTCTTTATAGTTTTGCCCCCTTAATGGTGATTGTTCTTTACCCTGTATTTGAGGTGTCTCTGCTCTGATTCAGGACTCTATCATCTCTCACTTGGATTATTGAAACATCCTTCTAACTCTTCTCTCTGCCTAGAGGTTTTCTATTTCCTCTTGAAGTGTCCCTGAATATTGCATCCAATTATCTTTCCAAAACAGAATTTAGATCATAGTTATCTCTTTAAACATATTCTGTGGTTTTCCATTGCTCATGAAATAAAGGAAAGATAATTAGCCATGGATGGTACTTTAATTTATTAATGTATTAAGTTGTCACAACAGCCCTGAAGGAAAAAAAAAAAAGGTTTATTGCTATTTCACAGCTAAGCATGAGAGAGTAAATGAATTTTCAATGTCATAGTTTCATTAATAAACAGAATGAGGATAAGAACCTAGGTCTTTTTTTTTTTTTTTACACTAAAGCTTGAGTTCTTTCAAGAACTTCATATTCTCTCCCAAATTATAGCATGGCCCTCTGAGAACCTGCCCTAAACTCACTCTTTAGCCTCATTTCCTATAGCCTCATCCCTCCCTGCACCTACTATGACCACTCACTGTCTCACACCTGCACTTTCTTTCCTTGTGTTCTCACTGGATAATTTCTTCATACCGCATTCCCCCCATTATTTCCTGCTGATCAAAATAGAGTCGTCTTTCAAGGGCTGCCTCCAGAAACCAGGTTCTGTAGAAATGTTCTGAAATCTCCCTTAATAAAAGAATTAGCTTTTCCTGTGGGCTCTGACAGCATTTTCTTCTTACGATCCTTTAGTATTTAATTCATTCCAACTTGTTATTTTAGCAGTTTATGTGTATCTTTCCACTTCTAGGACACAAGCCTGTTCTTTGCTGTGTCTTGTATGGTGCATTCTCCAGCGCACAGCTGGATATTGAAAGAGCATTGAAGATCTTGGCTGGTGTAAGAGTTTGGAGGAAGAAATGATCCAAAGGAAATGTGGAAGCTACAGGGAGCTTTGAGAAGACACTTAGCCATAATCAGGACCACCCTAAGCAGATAGTTTTAGAGGAGATTCAGAAGCCAGTAGGGCAGTGTTAGAGATCAGCAGCTCCCAAACCTGGCAGATCTCCCAAGTCACCTGGAGGTCATTGTAAAAATGTAAACAGATCCACTGAATCAGAATACCAGAGTGTAGAGTCTAGAAATCTGTGGTTTTAGAAACTCCCCACAGAGATGGCAGAGCAAGAACACATTTTGTGTTTAGTTTCCTTAATAAATGCCTTGGCTTCACCATCCTCTTGTTTACATGTACCAGGTAGGCTTTGGAGATCAGAGATTGACACCTTCCTAGTGATCCTTCAGCCAAGTTTAGAAACTCCTGGGCTCAGGTGATCTTGCAGTTCTCTTCCAACCCTGACTTCCTGTGATTTTAAGTAGAAAATGAGCTGGGCATTGACAGCAGATGAATTTGGCTACATAGACATAAAGAGGCGGACCTGGGTGACTGAACATGCGTTTGGAGGAATCATGCAGTGTTATTCCTGGGATCAGCCTAACTGCCTTCTTTTCTGTGCTTCCTCCTTTGAGTGCTTGGTCTACTCCAGTCTCTTGTGTATTTGCACATTCCTATAATATAAATTTGCAGCACTTAATTTAAACACGTAGAATCGTGTCACTTAACTAGCGGGATACATTGTGAGAAACGCATTGTTAGGTGATTTCATCATTGTGCGAACATTATAGAGTGTACTTACACAAACCTAGATGGTGTAGCCTACTTCACACCTAGGCTGTATGGCATAACCTAGTGTTCTTAGGCTGCAAACCTGTACGGCAGGTTACTGTACTGAATATAATTGTAACACAATGGTATTTGTGTATCTAAACATATCTAAACACAGAAAAGGTACAGTAAAAATACAGTATAAAAGATAGAAAATGGTACACCTGTGTAGGGCGCTTAACCATGAATGGAGGTTGCAGGATTGGAAATTGCTCTGGGTGAGTCAGTGAGTCAGTGGTGGGTGAATCTGAAGGCCTAGAATATTACTGTACCCTTCTGTAGATGTTATAAACACTGTACATTTAGGCTACACTAAATTTATTTTTATAATAAAGTAGTTGTGCCACAACATTATGGTGGCTATGACTTCACTAGGCAATAGGAATTTTTGAGCTCCATTATAACCTTATGGGACCACCATCATATATGAGGTCTGTCTTTGACCGAAATGTCATTATGCAGTGTGTGACTCTACTTTAAAACTACTATAATATTTACATAATGGTATAATCTAAAAATATTATGTCTCAAGTGATATACAGACTATGAAACTATTCTGGAAAAATTTATTGATCACATACGGTGTCCTTCATGAAGCTTTCTCCAATCTGTGTGAGCTATCGTATCTCCAGAATTTTGGGGGTTTACTGTATCTTCAGTTTTGTCATTTAATGATTTGGTTTTTTATTCATTTGGTTATAGGCACTTTCTCTTTTAGATAAATCATAGGCCCCTAGAAGATAATTACAATGTCTTGTACCACTTTGTTTTCTCTGTAGCACCTTGTTTTTCCATATATATAGTAGATGCTGAGTTAGTATTTGTTGAACAAATAAATAATCATTGTGTTTCCTTTTGCCATGTTGAAATTGATTGCAAGATTTGCTGTCTGCTGCTGATAGATGAAAAATCTTGTTTATTTGGGTTTTGGTGGTAGAAGTCCCTAAATGTATCCCATATGGGTTGCTTTTGCCCAAGAATCTAAAATCTTAATAGCTTTGTTAAAGAGAATAGACATGTTCAGAACAAGAAAGATTAGTTAATGGAATAAAACAATCGCCAGCTCTGTTCTTGACTGTATTACTTTCAGTTTGTTTAGAAAAAAAGAAGGAAGTGGAGATCCTTTGGATTCATGGCTATGCCAAGCCTCAAACCTCTTTGGAGCTCAAATCAAAACCTTAGAGAGCATCTGTCCGCACTCCATTTCCCTAGCTTGGCAGAGAACAATGGAAACCTAAAGTATGTCTCCTTCATTCAGCCTAGAATATTTCTAAATTACTTATCTGTGGGACTCCTGACAGCTCCTGCCTTGGGCAGAGATGCAACAGGGGGCTGCCTGGGTAGAATGATTTGAGGGGCGCCAGAGAGACTCCTTACTCCAGACAATCTTCCCTGTTTCCTCACCCTTTTGTTCCAGTCACCCATGCAAACAGGCTCTCAGTGCTAGTTTTTGGTGAGACTCAGTAGGTGGTAGAGGTTTCAAAACCAAAAGGGGGAGCTTGCATCTGCTAGCACATGCATGTCTTCATTATCGGGATTGGAAATGTCTTCCAAAGACTAATGCATTTCAATTAAATTTGCAAATTTATGACACAGGGCTGATTTCAGTTTTCAAACTGTCTCCCAGACTACTCTCCCTAAATGAGGAAATGAATGCGATGCTGTTACCTTTCACTCTGCACCTAAATCGCCGGGTCGGCTCTGGGTGTTATGTCTACTAAGTGCAGAGTGATTGGCTTTAACTGATCATGCATTCCAGGGCAAGTCCAGGGCTCCCCAACTTCAACTCCCCTGTGTCCTGGGGGAGAAGCTCTGCAAACGGAAGAGGACTTTGTTCTGCAATTAATCACTTGAAGTCAAAGTATGTTTGGGTATACAAGTGATAGCTCACAAAAACTATGAAGTGGCTGATCTGTGTAGCTGGTGAAATGCATGCAGTCTCTAAGAGAAGTTTTTTACTTTTAAATAGGAAAATATCTTAGGAATAGAGTAGGGAAAATTGTCAGATTTAGATTTGACAAAGTACACAATTGGACAAAGTAGAAGTGATATGCTAATTTATCATGGAATAACTTTTTTTTTTTAAGAGACAAGGTCTCATTCTTTTGCCCAGGCTAGAATGCAGTGGTGTCATCATAGTAACCTCCAATTCCTGGGATCAAGTGATCCTCCTGCCTCAGCCTCCTGACTAGTTAGGACTACAGACACACATCATCATGCCCAACTCATTTTTTAAAAAGCATTTTTTAGTTGAGAGGGTCTTGCTGTGTTGCCCAGGCTGGCCTTGAACTCCTAGCCTCAAGCAGTCCTGCCTCAGCCTCCCAAAGCACTGGAATTACAGGTGTGAGCCACCATGCCCAACTGGAATAACTTTTAAAGGCTAAATTCTGGTGTGTTAGGAGCTAAGCCTAAGATTACTTTCTGCTGGTATTCTTACTTTCCTGCTGGTCTGTTTTATCATGGCTGCTAGTGAAACTGACCTGGGAGGCACAGGAGGTGGTCGGTGCCAGAGCGGTCAGGGCCGAAGGTCAGACTCTGAAGAGAAAATGAGCATGGAAGAGTGTGTCTGTCTAAGTATGTGGCCTTGTTGGCCTGCCTGGGATAAATGAACTTGGGGTTACCCATTCTTTCTTACTGTTTATGGCTCTTTTCTCTTAGTTTTATTTTTCTACCCTTTGGAAACATTCCACATAGCCTAGTCAATGATGTTTTCATCAGCTGCTGCAGCAAGGAAAAAATTTCCCTTTAAATTGAGAAATTAATGAGTTTGTTGTTGTTTTTTTCTTACAGTAGGGAGTGACTTTACTTATTTCATTGACTTTTATAGCAGTTAACCTCGTGCGATAGTTATGTCAGGAATTCAGAAATGCCTCGTGAGTGACTGTTGTCAAGATGGATAGAAATGAGAGTGGTCCTCACAGCCCTGGTCAGGTCTCTACGATCTCACTTATTTAGAATCAAAGTTGGACATTAGCCCGTTTTCGCCTGGAGAAACAATTTCGCTCTGGGAACTGGGGGCTGTACCTTGTATAGACTCGAGTAGTATCAAAAGACCTGAACAAACTATATAGAGTGGACAGAGCCTTACTTCTGATGTTCAGGCCACCAGGCAGTGGTTGGAGGGATGGCTGGACACAGCCATATCCCTCTGAAAGCATATTTAAAACAGCCCTTATGGCGTTAATACCATCTATGTTTCAGGTAAGCCTAATGAGAAAAAGATCAAAACGTTGCCCTCAATCTTCTCTATTCAAAATGCCATAAACCATGTGATATTGAGCTTTCTGAGGCAAGGAAGCCATTTCCCTGATGCCCCAAAGTCTATATGTTATTCCTTGTGCCTTGGCCTGATGTGACTTAGTTCAAAGCTGCAAGGAGATCATGGCAAAGGAGTGAATATTCACTCCTTTTTGTATTTCATCCTTGAAGCTCTATATACCCCTTTTCTGACTTTTTCTTCTGAAGGGAGACCATAAGAGTGTCATTATTTGCTCATAGAAGCTGTCCCTGATAATGACTGGTAGAGCAAAGCTATATTGGGTAGTCAGACTGGTGAGTCATTTATTTTACAGGTGTGATCTACAGTGAGGGCCAATACCTTTTTTATACCACGGAAACCTTATTCACCATTCCAAAGGACCATAGGCCAGAATTGACTGAGCCAGTGGTAAAAATGTGTTTTTTGCATGTTCCTTTGTTTATCATGTTCGTCCATGTATTTCTGAACAGTCATGAGAATGAAGAGCTCTTGCATTTATTAGAGAGATTCTGAACTCCTGTCTTTACATTTAGGGTAAGTCCAGTGGTGCAGCAGCTTGGACCTTCAGTTTTTATCATCCTACTTTTTAGGGAACGTGGACATTTCCTGTGGCATGCTGACTTAAAGGCACATTACCTGTTGGCACACAGAGCATACCGTATCCATTTTTTAGACCATTTTTATCTTCTTTCTTTAGCAACGAGTGATATTAAAATCTTTTTTTAAAGAGATTCATATTATAGCTGGTCAGATCTCATGTGTTTCCCAAGATGCCTTTCATGAACCATATTCCCTCAATGTGTCTCTTTTCTTTGCCTTTGTCTGCCAATATTTCCAAAGCCATTAACTTTTAATGGCTTGGATCAAGAAACATACATGATCTGAGTCGAGCGGTGATTAATTTTAGTCACACTGTACTAGGTAGCTGGTAGGGCTTTCTTTTTAAAGCTAGTAGCATTAGAGGCCAAAAGTTTATTCCTCTGCTCCTGAAGTCACTTCTTGGTCCTGTTGTCTACAATACAAAAGCAAGTAATGTATTAACAAAAATGC
Organism: Homo sapiens; assembly: GCF_000001405.40. Classification (NCBI taxonomy): domain Eukaryota; kingdom Metazoa; phylum Chordata; class Mammalia; order Primates; family Hominidae; genus Homo; species Homo sapiens. Next base: position 2,304,036 of record NW_012132920.1, on the reverse strand, counting down.
CCTGATAGTATTACCAGATTGTATTTTCTGTACTGACTGAAATGAACCAATCATATTATTTAGGAGAATTTCTAACATATCACCCATAGGTGTTTAAAAGATAACGCTAATTTTCAGGGGCCAGTTACCTATTTTTAAACACTAAAATTAATTCCATAGGTTAGAGTGTAAACCCAAACCTGAACCATGATTTGAGACCTGTTGTGTCCAGACGCCAGTCATCAGCCTAAATTCCTTTTTTTCATTATAAATATAACTTAGCCTTTGTCTGGGCTTGATGGCTTACACCTGTAATCCTAATACTTTGGGAGGCTGAGGCAGGTGGATTGCTTGAGTTCAGGAGTTTGAGACCAGCCTGGGCAACATGGTGAAACCTCATCTCTACAAAAAAAAAAAAAAAAAAATATATATATATATATATACACACACACACACACACACACACACACACACACACACACGTACGTATACACACACACACACACACCCCTAGCATCATACTTAAGAGTTACTCAAAAGTTAACAGGTTGACAGTCTTGTTACAGTTCACACAGATACGTTGAATGGGAAAGAAAGGAAACGAGGATGAGCAGATGAACCCCCCTCCAAAAAAAGTTAATTGCAGTCACAGAATTAAGTTGGGAGAAGCCATAGGCAAGGTGTAATAAGATAGCTCTATTTAATTTTCATTCTGAAGCTATTAAAAGCAAAGGAGGCAAATAGACATTGGAAAGTTGCATAGGGCAGAAATCAGGGAACTCAAGCAAAATTCCAGAAAAGACCATAAATAAAATGAATCATAATGAAATGTGAGGCAATCTCTGCCTTTATGAGAGGGAAATAAATGGGTGCCCCACTTATTTCCACAGTCTGGTTCATCTGGATCTGTCCCCACTGTGCCTGTCTGTATTTGCCAGACACTGGTGATCTCACAGGCTTAGAACTTACCTGGAAAGTAATAAGCAGAAGAGAGTGGGAAAGCTGGCCATGTTGTGATTTTTGTAGATTTGATGTTTTACTGGAGCCCAAAATCTGAAATCTTGTGGTTATGGCTGTCAGAAGAATCATCCCCTTGGTCTTCTTAAATCAGTTGTCTACCTCTAAGATATTCATAGACAGTTCTTTAGGAAGAAGCTTTCTGTTGGCTTCTGTTGTCTTTCTCCTGAAGAGGAAGGTTTGTTTTGTTTTGTTTTGTTTTGTTTTGTTTTTCCCCCTAGGAGCTTCAAAAAGTTCTGTTAAAAAAAAAAAAGCAGACCTCTTTTTGTCTAAAAACATACATAAATCATCAATGTATAAAACAAAGTAAAGCTTTTCTAACTGAAGCAGAGCTTGCCAACATTGGCATCTGGAGGATCCCCTAATTCTGCCTCTTCTCCCTGAAACACCTTTGCTGAAGGTTAAAGCTCTTTGAAAAATAGTTTACAAACACTGCTCCAAACTATTGGATTTTCCAATAGTGAAAAGGAGTGTAAAGCAGCCTGAACACTCTTATCTGCCCCATTTCCTCCATATCTCATTTATCTCTTGATTGGCTGGTGTGCTCAATCCCTGTGGTCAAAAATAAAAGCACTTCTGTTATTACAAACTTCATAATGATTTCAGTATCTTCTGCCTTGTACAACACAAACCAGTGAAATACTGAATGTCAAAAGAATAAAGACTTGGTACTTCCTCAGTCTCACAGATGGCTAGATTCTGAAAATTGACTTGATTTAGCTGCAGCTGTATGCCTCTAACCTGTAGAAAGCCCACAGTATGCCCATAGGCTTTCCCAAAAGATGAGGCTATAACAGTGGGGAGCCTAAATCTCTAAATGGAAAGCCACGCCACTTCAACTATTTTTTTTTTTTTTTTTTTTTTTTTTTTTTTTTTTTTTTTGAAACAGAGTCTCGCTCTGTCGCCCAGGCTGGAGTGCAGTGGCACAATCTCAGCTCACTGCAAGCTCCCCCGACCCCGGGTTCACGCCATTCTCCTGCCTCAGCCTCCTGAGTAGCTGGGACTACAGGCGCCCACCACCACATCTGGCTAATTTTTTGTATTTTTAGTCGAGATGGGGATTCACTGTGTTAGCCAGGATGGTTTCGATCTGACTTCATGATCCACTCACCTCGGCCTCCCAAAGTGCTGGGATTACAGGCGTGAGCCACCACACCCGGCCAGGTTACAGTCAACTTCTACAGAGTCAAGACTAGGCAAGAACATCAGAGGACATGACTCACTTTCCCATCTTACACTTGTGTCTTTCCTCAGTAGTCTTTGGCAGCACTTGGTATTTACTGGGGCTCCCAATAACTCCTTAGGGAGCATATGCATGATAATGAGAAAGAGGAAAAGATAAAGTTTTCAAAAATTTTACTGAGACGTTTATCAATTGAGAATATATATTTTCTTTCTCTGATATGTTTGTTTGTTTCCTATATTTCCAAATTCTTTTGTAAGGATTGCCATATAACCTTTATTTTTTTTTGTTTTTATCAATTCAGGAGGTACATGGATTTGTGCAGGTTTGTTACACGGATGTATTTCATAGTGGCAGGGTTTGGGCTTCTACTGTATCCATCACCTGAAGAGTGAACCTTGTACCCAGTAGATTATTTGTTGACCCTCACTGTCTTCCCCACTCTCCCCACCCCCAGCGTCTGTTATTTCCCTCTATATGTCCATGTGTAACCACTGTTTAGCTCCCACTTATAAGTGAGACCATGCAGTATTTGATTTTCTCTTTCTGAGTTATTTCACTTAGGATAATGATCTGCAGCTCCATCTATGTTGCTGCAATGGACGTGATTTCATTCTTTTTATGACTGCATAGTATTTCATGGTGTATGTGATCCACATTTTCTTTGTCCAGTCATCTACTGATGGACATTAGAGCCAACATTTAGGCCAGAAACAAAAACAAGTCCACAAACAATGAGGAGGTTGAGCGTGTATGCAGCTAGAAACTGTCTAACCAGCAAATTTTCTTTGATTAAATGCAAAAAGCCCTTACCTCCTAAGTGGGAGAAATAAATTCCAGACTTGGGACAAAGTCACATAACCTCACTGAGTCTTAGTCTCCTTGTGGGCAAAGTAATGTGGATACTTTTAAGTATCTTGGAATCTATACATAAGATGACACGTGTAAATATTTAGCACATTTGGGTGGCCTTGAGTATCTTTTCTTTTTCCTTGTTTAAGACTTAATCAGCTAATCAGTAACTGGAACTACACTTCTAAATGTTTTTATAGTTTTTTCCCAAGGATAAATGCAAAAAGCAATCATTTTATAACTATTTACTAAACATTTAAATTGTTTAAGTCAGAAAAACAAAAGTTATCAATGCATGTCATTTGTCACGTAGATACTAAGAACTGACTTGAGCATGGTACAGTGCTGGGTAAAGGAACAAGGAGAGGTCCCAAATATGGATAAATCCTGCTCGTTGTCCCTAAGTCATTCCAATGGTTTAAGAAAAATAAGACACCTACTCAGTTCTAAGATGAAATGCCTTAAGTACCTTAAGAGAGGCACAAAGTGCTTTGTCATTTAAGAAAAGAGCAATTACTTCTGGCTAAGAGAGATGAAGGAAGCTTTCATGACTTTGACACTTAAGCTGTAAATAGAAGAATGGGAAGAATTTGCATGCATGGAAATGACTCAGACCGTCATTGAGGGAACAGTAAAAGCAAGATGCAAAGGTGAGAAAAAGCCATGTACAAAGAATGTAAGTCGTTTGGGTGGGTCATGGAACACGTGGAGTGAGGTGAAGGAAAAGATGCTTGATCAGTAATCACATATAGTATTTTCTTTAATTTTTATAGCAACAATGTTATTAGGTGTGGTATTATTCACACTTTAAAGAGATGAGGAAATTGAGGTTTGGGGGTTACATGACTTATCCAAGGATACTCAGCTAATTAAACCAGCATACTACGAATACAACAACAGATCTGGGTCTGAAAAGGTAAGATAAGTAAACTGGGTTTATAGCAGGGAGATTGTATTGCCAGTCCAAAAGCATAAGATTTTGAATCCTATGATACAGTCCAGGAATTGGCAGACTACAGCCTATGAGCCGGATCTGGCCCACTACCAGTATTTGTCAATAAAATCTATCAGAACATAGCATAGCCCGGTCGTTGATGCATTTTTCAGATGGCTGCTTTCCCACTGCAACAGTAGAATTAATTTATTGTCCAGTGCACAAGTAAGAATGTTGAATTCATTGTAACTAACGTGTGCATGTGGGCAGGGAGATGGGATTACTAAATGTGTGTTTTAAGCAAATTGTATAACATTAGCTAAATAAAGAGCTAAGCTACTCAGCCACTTACAGATGCCAACAAGTATGTGATTAATATTAAGTAAGATATTTTTATTTGAAGCATGGAAGAAAAAGCATATTTTTTAAATGTCTGAGTTGATAGATCTTTAAGTATTTACTATTTTGAAGATTTTTTGAAGAAATTTTAAAAATAAAAATATAAAAGATAGCATATCACACCCATATTCCCACTACCTAGAATTATAACTATTAACATGCATCATATATTCTTTAAGATTTTAAGTTTAAAAATGAAGTATTACAGATAAAATGAAATTCTACTTGGCATATTATTGCCAGTGTCATTCTCTTCCCAGATCTTTCTAGCAATAACCTCTATCATGAAATTATTGAGTATCTTTCTAGTCTATTTTGAATACTTTCATATGTGTGTATCCATATATAAATACAGATAGATGTCTGTATGTATGGGTTCAATTTAAAATTATACGCACAGTGTAGCATACTGCATGCAAAGTAACAATAGCAGCTTACATTTATTCTGCTATTACCGCCTGCCTGGAGCTGTACTGCTGATACAGGACCCCACCGGTTACCCAAAGCTAGCCTTTGGGTCAGGGGTTTCCTCACTATAGTCCCTTCTGTGGTTGCCAGAAAGATGTTACAGGAAAGTGGTCCCAATCCAGACCCCAAAAGAGGGTTCTTGGATCTCACACAAGAAAGGATACAGGGTGAGTCTGTAGAGTACAGGGAAAGCAAGTTTATCAGGAAAGTAAAGGAATAAAAGAATGGCTACTCCATAGGCAGAACAGCCTTGAGAGCTGCTGGCTGCCCACTTTTATGGTTATTTTTTGATGACATGCTAAATAAGGGATAGATTATTCATGCCTCCCTTTTTTAAGACCATACAGGGTAACTTCCTGACTATTGCCATGACATTTGTAAACTGTCTTGGCACTAATGGGAGTGTAGCAGTGAGGACGACCAGAGGTCACTAGGTGGCCATCTTGGTTTTGGAGAGTTTGGGTCAGCTTCTTTACTGCAACCTATTTTATCAGCAAGGTCTTTATGACCTGTATCTTGTGCTGACCTCATGTCTCTTCCTGTGTCTTACAATGCCTTAGTCATCTGGAAATGCAGCCCAAAAGGTTCCAGCCTCATTTTACCCAGCTTCTATTGAAGATGGAGTTGCTCTGGTTCACATGCTTCTGATACTGTCTCAGTCCTCTTATTGATCCTATGTAGCATGCACTATTACTGTCATGTTTTTTAGGAAATAAGGCACACAGAGAGTTCCCTTGTGCAGGGTCACACAGTTAATAAGTGATAGGGCTGAGAATTAATTCTGCAATCAGGCTTTGGAGCCTGAGCTCTTGACCATCATCACAGATGGACTATTCACTGTATCACTGCAGGATTCTTCACTCTCAGTATCATGCCTCTGATTCCTGTGATTTTTGAATTTGTAGATCTAGTTCATTCCTTCTCACTGTTATACCCTATTCTGTTGAATGAATACAGTACATAAGCAGCATTGCACATTGCATGGTGGTTAAGACCTATGAAATGGGAATAGTAGAAGTTCCTATCTCACAGAGTTGTGAAAATTAAGTTTAATTCAAATACAGTAGGTAGAACAGCACCTGGTACAGATTAAGTACCCAATAAATGTTAGTTGTTATTTGCTATTCTCATATATCACCCTGTTGAACCTATTCATTAGGTTGTCTGTAGTTTTTCTTGATTGCATATATTGCCACAGTGAAAGCTCTGTGTCTGTTTATAATTCTTTTTGGTATCTCCCTACAAGAAAACTTGATGGCTCGTAGAGTGTACATGCTTTCAGTTTTACTTGATATTGCCAAACCCAACTAGACCAATTTCTTCTCCTTAGTGCACTGTGTGGCACTTCCCATTCCCCTGCATCCTCACAAACAGTTAATATTGTCTAATTGTTTACATTTGCCAACCTGATGGGTAAGAAATACTATCATGCTGAATTAATGAATTTTTAATAAGTTGTATTGAGATAGAATTTACATATCATAAAATTCACCCTTTTAAAGTGTACAATTCCATACACATTAGTATCACTTCACTACACAGTGGTTTTTAGTATGTTCACAAGGGTCTACAACCATTACCTCTATCTGATTTTAGAGGAAATCTTTGACTGGTTAGCAATAACTCCCCATTTTCCCCAGCATGGGGAAACCCATAGTTTTGCTAACCTACTTTCTGTATGGATTTGCCTGTTCTGAACATTTCATATAAATAGAGTCATGTGTTTTTGTGATTGGCTTCTTTCACTTAGCACAATGTTTTTGAGGTACATCCATGTTGTAGCATGTATCAGCAAATTCATTCCTTTTTATGGCTCAGTAGTATTCCATTGTATGGATATACCACATTTAATTTTTCCATCAGGTGATGGAAATTTGGTTGCTTCTACTCTTGATTACTATAAATAGTGGTTCTATAAACATTCATATGCAAATTTTTATATAGACATCTTTTCAATTTTCTTAGTTATAGATATATTTATGTACCTAGCAGTAGAATTGCTGGGTCATATGGTAATTCTGTGCTTAACGTTTTGGAAAACGGCCAAACTGTTTTCCAAAGCAACTGTGTAATTCTACAATCACATCAACAGTGTATAAGGGTTCCAGTTTCTTCACATCTTCATCTCTAGTACTTGTTACTGTCTTCCTTTCTGATTCTAGCCGTCCTAGTGGATGTGAAGTGGTATCCCATTGTGGTTTTGATTTGCATTTTCTGATGACTAATGATGTTGAGCATCTTTTTACGTGCTTATTGACCATGTGTATGTCAGCTTTGGAGAAATGTCTATTCAAATCCCTTGTCCATTTTTAGAGGAGGGGGTATAATTTGTCTTCTTATTTGAATTGTAAGAGTTCTTTCTGTGTTCCAGACACAAGTTTCTATCAGGTATATGATTTAAAAATATTTTTCCCATTCTGGAGGTGGAGGTTGCAGTGAGCTGAGATCGCATCACTGCACTCCAGCCTGAGCAACAGAGCAAGACTCTGTCTCAAAAAAATATATATATATATAAAATATATATTTCTATATTATACATATATGTATTATATAATATATAAATAAATGTATTATATAATATATAAATAAATGTATTATATAATATATAAATAAATGTATTATATAATATATAATAAATGTATTATATATTATACATAATATATAATAAATGTATTATATATTATACATAATATATAATAAATGTATTATATATTATACATAATATATAATAAATGTATTATATATTATACATAATATATAATAAATGTATTATATATTATACATAATATATAATAAATGTATTATATATTATACATAATATATAATAAATGTATTATATATTATACATAATATATAATGTATTATATATTATACATAATATATAATGTATTATATATTATACATAATATATAATGTATTATATATTATACATAATATATAATTAATGTATTATATATTATACATAATATATAAATAAATGTATTATATTATACATAATATATAAATGTATTATACATAGTATATAAATGTATTATACATAATATATAAGTAAATGTATTATATATTATACGTAATATATAAGTAAATGTGTTATATGTTATACGTAATATATAAATGTGTTATGTTATACGTAATATATAAATGTGTTATGTTATACGTAATATATAAATGTGTTATGTTATACGTAATATATAAAGTGTTATATGTTATACGTAATATATAAAGTGTTATATGTTATACGTAATATATAAATGTTATGTTATACGTAATATATAAATGTGTTATATGTTATACGTAATATATAAATATAATATATAAATATACGTAATATATAAATATAATATATAAATATATTTTTTGAATGGAAAAAAACCTACAGAATGAAAAATACATATATTTATATTTTCCCATTCCGTAGGTTATCTTTTTTCCCATTCTATAGGTTATCACATCTTAATTGATGTGAATTCGTGAATTTTAGTATTTGTAGTTTCACATTTCCTCAGAACTTCATTCTTCAAAATCATCTCATTATCTGCTAAGTGGATCACAAGCCGGATAACACTGAAGTAAATAATGCTCTGTGCACATAGTACTCCATCCATCAGAAACTACCACATTGTTCACAAAAACAGGCTTCAGCTGGTGAAGAAAATTAAATTTTGATAAAGCAGAGAAGCCTTCACACCTAATTAGGATTTGAATTTAATAACAAGCATTGAAAAAACATTTCAGTATTTTCAAATTGCTGATGGATTAATTCAAAAGCATTTGGGTTTATGTTTAACCTGCCTTAACTCTTTTCTTCTTTCCTTTTCCCTCTTCCTTTCTTTTCCCTCTCTCCCCTGTCTTTTCCCTATTTCTATTTCAGATTGAAAATGGCTCAGGAATCAGTCAGCAAGTTGACTTCAGAGAAGAAAGTGGAGACAAAGAAAATCAATCCCACTGCTAGCCTGGTGAGATATATTTTTCAACATAATCTAACGATTGTCATGAAAATTGAGGTGCGCCCAGGAAGGGCTAAAGCTCAGAGATGAAACATAGTATCCAGATTCTCAGTTCCCATCCCAGAGTAGCATATGGTTAAAAAAAAAAAAAAAAAAGTATGTGTGGGTGGAGGTACAAAACATAGCTTTATATGTTTTTCCTGTAAACTCAACATAGGTCATTTCTGATAAACCAAATTTAGTCACTTACCATTTCACATCCTTCCACACCCTACCCGCAGTACAGTCACCCTTATCTCAAAGTATCTTTTTCTCAAAATGTTTAAATATATTCATTCTCTTCAGTTCCTTTTCCCCATTAAAGAAAGAGGCAGGGATTCTCCTATTTTGATAGTTGGAAAATTTGAAGTGCAGAAAGATACAGCCTACCCAGGGTCACTTAGCAAGTGGATAACAAAAGCCAGGACCAGATTCTGGGTCTCCTGACATCTCTCCCTATGCTGGAAACCAGCAGTCTCCCCAGCCTTCCTATATGTGAGATTGCGTTGTCCTCCAAAGTCCAGTTTTCAGTAGAGATCACAATGAATCTCCACCTAGGTGTTACGGACAATAGTCAGAATAGCTACATGGTTAGGATCCCAGGATGCCGAGAATGAAATGGCCTGGGTTCAGATCACAGCTCTGCCACTTAAATAGTTGTAAAACCTTAGTGAAGTTACTTTGTTTCTTTCTCTTCCATGAAAAGAACATACTACTTTTTTTTTGGGGTTATTTTGAGAAAACTGAGAAAAGACATGTAAAATGCCTAACACATAATAAGAGCTCAATAAATATTAGTTGTTTTCCTTGTTGCTGTGAATTTCAGCTGCTTTGGTTGACCCTGCAATGGGGAATGGCAATGAGTGGGAAGTGGAAGTATCACCCTCCTCTCTCGGATTTTTCAAACTCTGTCCTCTCTGGGCCCTGATGTCCAACAACTACTTACTTTATCCTTTTAGATTATTAGTACCTTTTTGCTGGATGCTTCAAATCCTTTGAAAATATAAATGGGTTCTAAGTTACAAAGTGAGATTATTTCTGTTGATTGACCATAATGTTTCTCCCAACAACCCCATGAGCAGCTAAATGAATGTTGCATGAGGTTGATGAATGAGAAATGGAGAAGTCCGGGCTATACTTTTTGGTCGGGGAAAGCCATGGTTGAGCACATGGCCCCTACCTAACCGGACATGTCCTTTGTACCCGTTTGATGGTATATTTATGACATTCATTTGTATGACTTTCAGTGGCAGTCGGCTGAACCCTGATTTTTGTCTTCTTCCTTCATGAGCCTCTCCCTCTTCCTCAGACCTTTTATTTGGGCCTCTATCCAGACTTTTACAGCCAAGCTTGTTCCCCCAAGGCAGAGAGAATGGGGTCAGCCATATAGACAAAAGGGAAACAGTGGGTTTACGACCTCCCCTGTGAGCAAGCTCCCAGTTGTGATCCTGGGCTTGTTGGGGCTGCTTATTTTATTGTCTGTGTGGGTGGGTGGGTGGAAATCAGGGAAGAGCTTGTAAACTGATTCCTGATTCAATTTCGCAAGTTAGGGATGGGGTCCAAATTTAGGATGGGTGTCGAAAAATCATCAACTTAAGTTTATATCTAGGCCAATTTAGTAATTCACTGCAACATCATATCTCATAGCTCATAAGCAGCTAAGGATCCATTCTCAAAGGCTTCTCTCTGCATCTGCTCATTCCAAAAGAGTATACTTCTCCCTTTTCCATTTTAGCCTTCTATTTACCCTCCTCCCAGAGCAGGCACACCATCCTTACCATACTGATATGTGTGCTTCCCTAGTGTCACAGATACCATGGGGGTCCATGTTTCTGTGTAGTGTGCTCCTGTGTATTCTTACGTCTTCCCAGCAGATGTCCATGTCCTTCCCTTTAGAAGGCAGTCTCTGAGGAGGAAGCTCGGAGAATGAAGAGCATAACATCCATGGCAAATCGGGAACTTCTGCCATTCTGCAGAGACTAAATCTGGTCATCTCCCATTTTGCATGGCTTTTGTTGAGTTCTGCCAAGTTGATCATTGGAAATAGTAATTTTTTTTTTCATATCTTCTTGGGCATTCTCTAATTCCATCAATGAGCCAAAGGTAGGGACGGAAGGGGTCCTTGAGTAACACTACAAAGTTAGGGTCTTTGTCACAAAAGAAGAGAACAGAAAAGACCACCCTGGCATGGTAAAGGCCCGTGTTTTAGATGGATGTAGTTGGTAGATTGGCTGGTTATTGATTTCTTGTTTGTTTTTCTGGGGAGTAAGGGTGATAGGTAGGGAGGGGCAGATAACTAAGAGCTTAGGGAAAGCAGTAGAGGTACTCTCATTTCTAGGCCATTTGGCACAATTCCGGAAACTCAGCATTCTAGACCAAAATTTGAGAAATGTATCAAAACTTGAGAAAGATGAAAGAAAATGATACATTCATTTTTTTTTCCTTAACAGAAAGAAAGACTGCGTCAGAAGGAAGCCAGTGTGACCACTAACTAAGATGAAGACACATGGAAATGATGGCACTGGAGGTGGAGGACCTTGCACGCATACTCTTTGTGACCACAGGGTTGCAGGACGTTCTTGAAAGATGTGTCACTAAATGTTTGTTTTTGCTCATCTCTTTCTGAGGTCATCTGCAGAGAGTGCCCCATGCCTTCTTTAAGAAGTCCCTCATTAAGCCGCAGGAACAATGGAAAACTATTTAAGGGAACATTGCAGAAATATTTGATGACTGTTTCTTGTGGAAGCCCAAAGTCCACTCTAAGAGCAGAAGAAATACCAAAATGTTTCCAAAATTTTTTTAAAAGCTGAGATTTCCAGCTTTATAACCAAAGCTTGATATATGTCACATTGTCACAGAAGAGAGAAAAGATCATTGAGGACAGTTGCCTTGGGAGAGTTCAAGTCTTTGTCGTTACACACTGCTGTTTTGATTATTGGTCTTAGTTTTGATCCTGTTGCAGCAAAATCCTGCAGCATCTTTCTCTCCAATAATGTTGCAACTCACCAAAACTATTCTTGAAGAGGTCCAAGAACATGTATTATCCAGACTAAAAAAATGATTTTTTGTTGTTATGGTTTACGTGATGAAAAGGAGAAAAAACAGAATCATACCTGGGTGGAGAGAGGGAGACAAATAGCCATAAACTTCATCCTGGAGAACAAGTTACCATGCAAGGAGTTGACATCAGTTGTTAAGTGAGGCCCATTCTTGTTTTTACATCGGTCCTTTGTGGTTTTTCTGGGCCAGCAGAGATTCTGCACCCCAACTCCCAGGAGAAAATGTAATACCTGAGCAAGCACAGCCTTGGGTGTGCTTGGACAAGAGACCCAGCGGCAGAGCACCTTTTACATTTTGGACCGTTCATGAATGGGCAATGTTGTGTTGATACGCAGCCGAGTTCTACGTTATGTGCTGTGACTGTGCAGCTGGACGACCCCCATCCCCAGGAGGCAGTTTCCAGACAGGAGAGCAAATGCAACTCACAGCACCTGCTCATGACCTTGGCTGATAGGCATGTGAAGTAGGATGAAGCAGGACTCTTTAATGTCAAAAAAACTGAAGGGCAGAAAAAAGGTTCCTTACATCAAAATGAAAGTAATTACATTAATAGAAAACTTCCAAGTGGAATATTGTTCACAGGCAGCTCTTTCTGACCCTGGCTCTTGAGTCACATAAGGAAACCACCTTTGACCTCTCTGACACTTTTGTCTTTAAGCCACGTCTCTGAAATCTTGTGAGGGGTGAAGAAAGAGGACTGGAGATGAATGGACAATATGATCAAAGACTCATTTTTAGGCCTTGAAGAGGCCGAGCTTTCTCCCCCCAATTGGTGGAGGACAGTCCAGAGATGAGCAGAAATCTTAAATTCCTTCCTGATCCAGCCTCCACATGTGGCCTGCCCCTTGCCCCAGCATCTTTCCAGAACCCCTGGACTTGCCAGGTGCCTGAGCATCTTCCCAGGATATGCCTGCCAGCCAGCAGCCCCTCAGGAATGCTTCTATAATAGATCCAGTAATGAAAGCAGCACCATATCCTAATCTAATGTCAGCTTCGAGAATGAAGACTGCAGTCAGGATCAAATCAAGTCACAGAAGCCATATTCATGCAGGTGCTAACCGCCTTTTCTACTGGTGCAACTGAAAGGAATATGGTAACATGGTTGGATTTTTAAAATTCACAATGAAGGAACGAGACAAGCAAAACAGAAAAGCCGAGAAGGAACATGCATGACTAAAAAGGCTTGAAGTTGCTTGTGAGCAAGAAGCTTTTTATGCTGCTTTCTTACATAGTTTCTCTTCATTTTCACTTAACTCTGAAGACAACCAAAAGAACGGATCAATTAAAAACTGATTCCACTTATAACCATTGTATGCTCCTTCTAGTGTTATCATGCACAAGAAAAGTGCCAGTTTTACCCATGCCATATAATTCAGCTCTTTTGAGTTATGTGGGGCCAGCAGAAGTCTCAATCCTTATAGGCTTGATGGTGAGAGCAGCGGGAGGTTTGAGGTGTACTCATTGCAGTCCACTTTGGTCTGTAAGTAGGATGCTTACGAGAAATCAGTGAAGGTAAGCAGGGCTGCCACTGTGGCCACGTAACCCTTCAGGAACCAGTGCTGAAGAATAATGAGTGAGAACACTTAATTTGAGAGTTAGACAAATACAGCCCACTTTGGATTTCATCCTAGTGAACAGACTAAAACTTTGCAGTAAAATACCTATTTCTACAAAGCAAGGTTTGCCTGCCTCGGTTGGGGAAACCTAGTGGTTTTGTCACACTAGTCGATGTATGATGTTAGTGTTGTAAGACACCATGGCAGAATCTTCATTATTCTCACCTATTCTGAACCCTGCATCATGTATCTGGGATGCCCCCTCCCAAGTCCACCAATGTACCACGTTGCTGACACAGCCTTCATTTTTAACTCAAATTGATGCTCAGTAAAGGTCAATGACAATTTGTTCAAGGAAGTTCATCTAAAATAATCTGGAGGCCTTGAAAATGATCCCTCTAAAATGCTGTTGAGCTTGTGTTCAGTGTAGCAGGAGGATCTGAACTTTTCCTGGAGAGGAGGTGATCGGGATGCCATTTGGCAGCTTAAGCACATCCTGCCAGCAGGCTTTAAGTGGCTGTTCTAGGCATAGCCCTCCCTGAACTAGAAAGGAGAGTAACCAGTTTGCTATGCTGCATCTAACCAGACACACCTGACTTAGTAGTAACTCTAAGAACCCTTAACTTACAAACAACTTTGTCTCCTCTTAGACAATATTCATTAAATCTGAGGACACAGTTTGACAGTAGTTCAGATTCTTGCATGAGCAATTGACAGCATCAGAGCACACAATATCATAAGTTACATAAATTACACAAAGTACATCATAAATTACACTACAGACACGTTAGGTAAAAAGCATCAGGCCCGGGCCGGGCGTGGTGGCTCATGCCTATAATCCCAGCACTTTGGGAGGCCAAGCGGGGGCGGATCACGAGGTCAGGAGATTGAGACCATCCTGGCTAACACGGTGAAACCCCATCTCTACTAAAAATACAAAAAATTAGCCGGGCGTGGTGGTGGGCGCCTGTAGTCCCAGCTACTCGGGAGGCTGAGGCAGGAGAATGGCGTGAACCCAGGAGGTGGAGCTTGCAGCTAGCCGAGATAGCACCACTGCACTCCAGCCTGGGCGACAGTGAGACTCCGTTTCAAAAAAAAAAGCATCAGGCCCATGAAGTATCAAAAACCAGGTTAGGAGGTGTGCTGTATGGCTTTTATCTCAATAAGTGGCAGCTTACTGGGGAAAAAGAAATAAGAAAAAGTGTGGCCAAGCAGAAGTGGATGTTTATGATGACGGTGGGGGCCCAGAGGTCATAGGTGATGGTCCTACTGCCCAACAGTTGCCTTTTGAATCCTTATGTTGATGATGGTGTCTTTCTACACACTCACTGCAACTACTCAGGAATTATAAAGATTTTCTGAAATCTGAGAAGTGGAATAAGGAAACCCAGTGGAGCTATTACACTTTTAAATGTTCTAGCCAAAACAAATTGCCAGTATGGTTGAGGAATTGAATATCAGATGGCATGCAGTCTCCCCTCCCCTCCCCTATCAAGGACAGTAGAAGCTGCAAACCTCTTCTCAGCCTCCTTCAGGCACCTCCTGTTTTCATAAGCACCATGAAGAATGGTGTTTCCTAAATGAAAAGTTCAGATACTGCTGGTAAAGAAACTGGAAAAACTGAAGGAAGGAATAAAATATGTTGGTGGTATTAACACCTCCAGTAAGATAAGTCATTGGTACGGTTTTTCTAAGGGCCGCAGTGAGATGTAGCAGAAGAAATATGTTTATTTTGGGCAAAGATTTGCTTATTGGCCTGGGATTGCACATTTTCTCTATGATGTTTGCAACAGAGAAATTTTCATTTTAATGATACTCTTCCTTTCTTGAAAGTTACATGTCCTCATTTCTGTTTCTGCTTCTCCCTTGGCCAGTGTCATTGATGCAGATCATTGCATACAACAGCACAGCAAATTGCGCCAAGTCAGTGTGTGAATGGGAATTAGCAATGCACGCTTGCAGGCTCTTTTTCCAGGAACCAGGCTGTAACATTGACCGGGGAACCTCTTCATTCCCTGACATACTAAATTGGTCAATTTTGTAGTACTCATCTCCATCCACAAAAACAACAAAGATAAAATCAATTTGGAGCTTTATATGACAAAAAGGAAGAAGTCCAAAAATATATAGCCTTCCCCCCTCCCACATATCTGATCCAAATATTAAATATCTGATTTTATAAAACAGTTTAAATTGTCTTTTTAAATTGCTAACAAGCATCAGTTATATTTGAGCTTCATTTTTCTTTTATCCTGTCTGTCCTAATAAAAACAAAAATGGCCAAAAAGTGGAGAGGAAAGAAAAAGCTTCCACTTTTTAAAATTTGTTTTGTATTAGTTATTTTACCTTTAGGGACCCTACAACTGAAGAGAGTGGAGAGAATAAAGAAGTGAACTTTCATTCATGTCTGCTACTTTGACCTCATAAAGAAATCTGCAACACAGATGAAACCAGTCTGTGTGGCCAAGCTGATGGGATTTGAAAAGAGTGGATAATTTTTAGCCTTTCCAAAATGCAAATAACTTGGATATATTTCCATTTTCCAGCTATAGAGAGAAACAATCCAGCTGCCTGGAAACTGTTATTAGTATAGAAGTGGCTTAAAGAAAAGCATCTTCAAATACTTGACTTAGCATATCTTTCTTCTTTAGACTTACATAATGATATTCATCTCTCCATTAGCAATTGAATCCAGGCATAACCGGGCTCAGTTACACAGCTTGTCTGTGACTGGGAAGCCCATTTTGTGTCATTTCTGCACACCTGTCCGCTGTTGACACCTTATTAGAGGCACTGCATTTTGGTTTCACAATTCTTCATCTCCCTTCCCAAGGAATGGGCAATCTACTGAACTTCCAGATCAATGCTTTGTTGGAAAGTGATGAATTTAAGAGAGTTTTAACATGTCAAATTTGAAGCCAATTCAGTATCCTTATTTGTTCCAAGACTCTTAACCAATACTGTGATATAAAGTTAGGATTTGGGAAACGTGTAGTTAACAACTTGGAAACATGAAGATATTAAAATGGCAGCTGGCTAACTGTCTCTTAAGCCACTATGCAATTTCTACCAATGGAGAGATTAGGGAAGCAAATTAAGCCTCATTCAGTAGGTCTGCTGTCTGGTGGAACTTACGGAACTCATTTCCTCCTCTATCCCCAGCCCTTCTCCTAACTATGGTGATAACCAGGGCCATAGAAGACCTTTTCTCTCTTACCTTTCTCTGATAGGATCGTGTCCTTCAGTCAAGAGCTCATGTGAACTCCAGACTTTATATTACATCTCTGAAGTTCTTGATGTGGGGAAGATTGACTTTTATTCCATTTTTATATGAAGGTGTTAGATATAGCCATCAATTTATTTTTCTACATTCCCTCTACGCTTATGTAATTTTCTATTTTTAAATCTTCTCTTAAATATACTGAGAATCTCTAGTCTCCTTTTCTAAAGGCTGATCCAACTACACTTGTGGGCTATTTTTCCAAGCTTTGTGTGAAACTTGATGACATTGGGCCAGCAAAATGCAAAGAAGACTATAGTTTCAGGCAGAAAATCACGTCCAAAGAATTTGGCATGGATTAAACAACCTCTACCACACTATAGCTCTCACATAGGCTGAACATTTTCCTAAATTCTACCTGTGCAGACACTGAGGGGCTCTCTACCTTTGAAACTATGAGAACGTCTTAAATTAATATGAATATTTCTCTCCATGTATAGTGTGAGCTGCCAATGCATTATCTTAATACATCAAGAAGGAAATCAGATTTCAGGCACACATTAGCAATTGTTTGTTAATGTCCTTGGCAAACGTGTACCTGCTTTCCTTCATTGTTCTCTTCAGGGGCTTTCTTCCACTTTCCTCTTATGAAACGAATGTGTTTTTGACTGTTAACTGGGTTCGCTTTCCAGATCTGTCTTTCCCAAATGAAAGGTTAGTCCCATAGACCACTGGCTATTCAGGGAAATTACTCTCTACCTCCCCATGACATGGATGATAAGTGTTGAGGGATGAACACTCTGGAAACTCTTAGCATGGATTTTGAATTCCAGATTTCTTTATAGGAGATGTATAAAAAGGAGTTTATAGCATACAAAAATTATACTGCTCTTCCCAGTAAGGGACTAAAAGGACATTTGAAATCTTTACATTTTAGATGTTTTTGTGAATTATAAATATCTCCTTTTTCCTCGCTTCATGCTAACTTGTCTCTAGATAAAATCTTATTTCTTCATACATTGGACCACAAGGCATAAAGAAGGTAGCTCAGCGCCACTGAGATTGTGTTCTGCATAATATTTGGAAGGCTTCCATTTCCATTGAAAACAAATCCATGAGTGAGAGGGAAAGTCTAGTATCAATTCTTCTGTTTGCTCGCAATGACACAAATAGGTTTTGGGGATCTACCTAAGGGATAGGTCTACTCCAAAATTATTAAATTTATAATTGTGCAATTCTGTAATTTCCCAAGGCATAAGTAATATGACCCTACTGTCAGCTAGATGTCTTATCTTCAAAGAGAGTATGCATTAATAAAAAGAACTTCCCTTTAAAGAACCAATCTAAAATACTAAAAAGGCAGAAACTTTTAAAATTAGAAATTGGATAATTTTTAAGAATCTTTAGAGAAAACATTGGTTTATCATAGTCTTTTTCTTTCATTGAGTTTTCATTTAGACTAGCATGGCAAGCAGGGTGGCCTTGGACTTTGATTTAGGGGATCGTGCTTTGGCCTGGAAAATAAGCACTGGCCTGCATGCCTAGAACCTGAGTGAAGGCAGTCAACATCCTAGTATGAATCAGACCTAGCAGAAATGTAAATTATTTCAAGTACTTCAGGGTTTAGTTTTCTTAGTGACACCCTGGACCCTGGATGCTGCTTTCTAAAGTGCACCTGATCCATGCAGTTTTATGTCTTCATATAACTGGTATCTTGTGAGTTTGCAAGCAATGGGATGAGCAAGAAAAAAAGGACGCATGGAGGAGAAAAATTTGAACGAGGCTAGTGCAATGTTTTGCTGATAGATTACATTGTTAGGGAGCTGGTGATTTTTTGCCATGGTCGTATCGTGGACAGCTTTTCCGTGGAAATTCAAGGCATCTGTATTAGGCAAATGTGAGTGCCCTTGATCTTGTATTGATCAGTGCCAATGTACTGGGAAAGCAGGTACCCCAGTGAAACTGGTCTGTGCTTGGTTTAACAGCTCCAACAATTTCAGATCCATGGGGCTGCTTGACCATAGACCCTGTTTACTCCATGCCTGTTCAAAAGTCATTTTGACTTCTAGCTTTGTTTCACTTTCTTCTTTCAATACTTCTGTTTCCTCGTCCTTTTCCTTCATATTCCATGGCTATTTCTTTCCTACTTTACAGTTTCCCCCAGACCCAGATTTTTTCACACCTCTGCATCATAGACAACTGAGTAGCTCCCTTGGCCCCTCCTCCATCCTCTCACACCCTGTGCTCCGTTCCTCAGCCGTTTGGACAGGGAGCTCCGCTGTCACCAAGGAGCCCATGTGAGACACACTGCTGTGACTGCCTCTTGTTAATGTCAGCATCACCTCATCACTTAAGCAAAAAGGAAAATCCATAAAAGAGATGGAAAATACGTCTCTTTTTATTTTATTTTAAGAAGATTGGGCGGGGTGGGGGGGGGGTTCTTATTCTAGGCCTTCTCAATTTCTCATAGATTTTACCTTAAACTAATTAAGGCCATTCTCTTGATAAATTTGTACATCAGACCGGGTCACCAGCTATGATGCAGAACGCCAGATTTTTGAATCTCAAGTAACTTTCTGTGGTGCTGGACAAATTGACTTAATTCTGTGCAGGCAAACACTTTGAATCATAAGGATTTTTATTGCCGCTCCATTCTTACTACTATTCATGATTCAAACATCTACCCCTGTTCTGAATCAGGATGTTGACACTTCTTGGTTATTTTCAGATGAACAGTAACTGCTACACTCTTGAAAGCACTTAAAAGTGCAAGCATGTCCTAAATAGCCATTTAACCTGGTAAAACATAGGCTTTTCTGTTTAATTAAGTATTAGACCAGTCTGTAGATATAATCTGAAAAGATTGTAGGCAGTAATGAAGACAGTTGGGGAAAGGAGAAGGCCCTTTAAAGACATGAAACCTTACACGCTCTTGGGATATTTTTAAGCATAATAAGCTCATTGGATTCAGGTATTTTTCCCTTTGCATTTTTAAAAATACGTATTTCTAATTTGTTTGCATATTTAATTTTGTCAAAGCTGAGAAATGCTCATGAGTTGAATTTATAAATGTCATTTGCAACCAAATGAAGTATTTATTTTTAAAAAGAGAGTGAAGGAACCAACACTGATTTGTACATAATAAAAATGTGTGTATTATATATATATATTTTTTCCTCCTTGACAGTACTTGGTCACAATATCAAGTGTATTTTTGTACATAATATATATTGATTAGAAAAACGTCAATTGTCTATTCAAAAAATTCTATCTCTGTGATAGATTATATTTATCCTAATCTGTTGATACCTCTGTTAATTTGTTTTAAGAGAATTATATTTTTTGGAATTTACAGAGAATTGCATTCATGGCTTTCAATTGTAAATATGCTAAGGGTATTTTAATAAATCTTGGTTTCATGTCCATCTGGTGTGCAATGCAGATTTGTTTTCAGGAGGCATGTAAAGCAATATCCCAGTAGTACTGTAATGTGGAGAACACCAGTCATTTCTAACTTGCGTTACCACTCGGGTACACTATTCTGAGCTGCAAGAGCTGAGTCTGAGGAAGTCTATCGTTGGTATTTCCGTTTTTCTCCCATTTGTCCCCTATCAACTGTGGGCAACTTGGCCAGACATTCAAGGCTAACAACCAACAGACAAAACCAGCCAGGCATTGTCTCAACAAGGCTTACCCAAAAGCAACACTTCCTGAATATACATTGCCCAAGGGACGGGGCACAAAGAGATTGGTGACTTCAGGCTATAGGTTGAAAATAATAAACTGGAGAAACAGAATAGAAACATAATTGTATGGATTCTTTTACTAAGCACAAGGTACACATTCTTTTCAAGGAATAATATGAAGCATGCAGGTATTTTATAAACATAAAACACTTTAAGCAAAACAGTCTTCTATTTAAATACAAATGTAATTGTGCTTTTTAGTTAATTCATTTCTTTGGTGTTCCTGAATGCCGTACGCTACAGTTCTAGATATTTGCTGCAATATACCCTATTATGTATAGCAATGTTTAATGAACATACATAGTTATTATCTAGGAAGACATTTCACCACTACAAAATCTTCTAAATCATAGTCAGTGAGCTGCAAAAATCTTTGGACATTGGAGAAAATATCTCAGTAAAACTTCTGAAGTTCAAGGGAATTGCTAAAAATCACACTTACTGTTGGTGAACACTTCAAGACTAGAACCCAGATTTCTTGACACTAAGGCCAAAGCCCTTCCAACTGATGGATTCATTCATCAAATTAGACCGCTCTCTCCTTCAAAATACTCTATCATGGAGAAATATTCTAGAACTATTCTTTGAAAAGAAGAATCCAAAGGCCGCTAACATTTTTGAGAAACATTATTAGGTTTGTGTTCTGAATTACAACACCTATGTGAGGGTAGAGGCCTGGATGTCATAAGGACCCAGGAAAAAATACCAGCACACCATAGGAAGAATCTCATCTCTGGTCTAACCAAGATTTACCCTCCCTTGCTTAGCTAATGAGTATACATCTTTGCCTAGTCTTTAAATAGTCTATGAAGCTGATGGTCCAACTAACATCTGTTTTAGTACGTTTTGTGTTCCTGTAACAGAATACCTGAGAATGGGCAATTTATAAACAGAAATGCATTGTCTAACAATTCTAGAGTCTGAGAAGTCCAATATCATGGTGCCAGCATCTGGCAAGGACCTTCTTGGTGCATCATCAGACGGCAGAAGTCAGGCCACAGAGGCAAGGGGGGGCCTAGCTTTTTTCATACAGCATTAATCCCACCCATCAAAGTGGAGCCCTCATAGCCTCATCACCTCTTAAAGGTCCCATATCTTAATACTGTTACAACGGCAATTAAACTTTAACATGAGTTTTAGAAGGGACAAACATTCAAACCATAGCACAGGTTATAAATCCCTGAGGCTAAATATTCTCCCCCAGATCGGCTGCCCACTTTCACCTTGCTGTGATTGTCATTATGGAAATAAAAGACTTTAAAGTTCTCCACTGGCCCTTCATGCACATTAGATGCCACTGAATCCAAATCTTCTGAAGGTAATGTTTGCTTCATGCCCATCATTGTGCAATGATAAATTGTAGGAGAAAATATATTAGTTATTAATTGCTGTATAACAAAATACCCCAAAATTTAGTGTATTAAAGCAACAATATTACTTCTCTTGGCTTTTGTTGATCAAGAATTTGAGAAAGGCTCAGCTGGGCTGTTATCACTTGGAGTGTCTCATAAGGTTGTAGTGATATGTTCATTAACATATCTGTCATCTAAAAAATTATTAATATGAGCCTGTCATCATCTGAAAACTGTATGGCTTGAGTGGGACTGGAAGATGCCCATTCTAGTTAGCTGACTCAGCTGGCAAGTTGGTGCTGGCTCTAAGCTGGAAGCCTCAGTTCCTCTCCACATGGGCGTCTTGAGTGGTCCAAAGTGAAACATGTAATGTGCTTTCTGACCAAAGCTCAGAAGCTACACCCAGTCACTTTCATATTGAGCTATTTATAAATGATCTGTGCAGACTGGGGAAGTGGGGAACTAGACTCTGCCTCTTGATGGAAGAATGTCAATGCCACATTGTAAGAGCATGTAAGATGGGATGTATATTGGTGAGACCATCTTTGGAAAATACAATCTGTTACAGCAGCTTGCCCTGTTTTTTCTCTCTAGTCTTTCTCCTCCTTCCCTTGTTCTAATTTTTGTCCTAAATCTAGGTTTTAGATTTCTTTTTCAAATTTTTTCCTACTTTTCCCCAAATCTTCCCTCCCTCAATCTGCATATTGGAGCACAGACATGTTTGTCTTGCCTCTCTGGAATAGAGGCACTCTTTTTTTTTTTTTTTTTTTTTTGAGACAGAGTCTCGCTCTGTCTCCCAGGCTGGAGTGCAGTGGCGCGATCTCGGCCCACTGCAAGCTCCGCCTCCCGGGTTCACGCCATTCTCCTGCCTCAACCTCCTGAGTAGCTGGGACTACAGGCGCCCGCCACCACGCCCAGCTAATTTTTTCTATTTTTTAGTGGAGACGGGGTTTCATCATGTTAGCCAGGATGGTCTCGATCTCCTGACTTCGTGATCTGCCTGCCTCAGCCTCCAAAAGGGCTGGGATTACAGGTGTGAACCACCACGCCTGGCCTGGAACGGCTGTATTTACCCAATATCTGTACCCCCATTGTATCTAGGATGTAACTAGCTTGCTTTTGATTTTACAGGCTCATAAGCAGAATAGACTTGCCTTGTCTCAGATGAGACTTTGGACTGTGGACTTTTGGATTAATGCCGAAATGAGTTAAGACTTTGGGGGACTGTTGGGAGGGCATGACTGGTTTTTAAATGTGAGGACATGAGATTTGGAGGGGCCAGGAGTGGAATAATATGGTTTGGCTGCGTCTCCACCCAAATCTCAACTTGAATTATGTCTCCCAGAATTCACACGTGTTGTGGGAGGGACCCAGGGAGAGGTAACTGAATCACGGGGGCCGGTCTTTCCCGTGCTATTCTCATGATAGTGAGTAAGTCTCACGAAATCTGGTGGGTTTATCAGGGGTTTCTGCTTTTGGATCTTCCTCCTTTTTCTCTTGCTGCCACCATGTAAACAGTGCCTTTCACCTCCCGCCGTGATTCTGAGGCCGCACCAGCCATGTGGAAATGTAAGGTATGTCTCAGTCTCAGGTATGTCTTTATCAGCAGCGTGAAAATGGGCTAATACAGTAGGTCTTGCAAGGAAGAGCCTCTGAGGTGGCAAAGCCTTCAGTGGTAGATACCAAGTTTTTATTACAAGTGACTGCAAGACTGTGTCAGTTAAGATGGCTGTTTGAAGCTCCTGAAGGCTTAATTTTTTTTATGGTCACAGAGTCCTCTGGTGAAAACTGATAGTGGAAGAGTGTGCTTGTTTGTGAACTTATCTGGTTGGATGCAATCTTCATTTCTTTATATGTTTATTAAACAAAACATGTTATCCTTATTGGCAAAGTGCCCTATGAAATATAAAGTAAAGTCTTTTTCTAAGATGGAGTTAGTTATGTCCGAGGTGCTCTACACAAACAGCCAATACTGTTTTTCCTGGGACCATCCCCTTTTGAACTTCACAATTGGAAATTACTGTCTCATTTCCTGAACCCAAACCTTGCCACTCGATTACTTAGTCTGCATGTGAGTTGATTCATTCTGGCCTTTCCCGTTCCTCTAGGGGTGAGATATTCTTTCAGTTCTAGTTAGCCCACAACAGTACTTTATTTATTCACTTGGACTTTTTGCATTTCAATTTCCACATCTGTTTAGACCAGAAGATTTTTAAGCTCTGTAAGCAGCTATTGTAGAAAGCACCGTATGAGCTCCTGTCTTCAAGACCTACAATATACCAAAGAGGAAACACACCACTAATAAAAACGAATGGGCATTTACACTAAACACATTCTATTTGGGAAGAGGCCATTGACACTTAGAGCTGAAGACTGGCTCTTTAGACATTTCTCTTGAAGAACGGCAAAAAAGAGAAAGCCTATTCCAAGCAGCATAATGACCCATGTGGGAAGCAGACAGTAAATACGGAAGCCCTATAACCACATTTGCAGATAAATCAAAGGATATGGCAGGGTGTTGTCCAGGCAGCAGTAATGTGTGTATGTAGATTCATCCTATGTTGAGGCATGGTAGGTAATATGGGTCTCCTCACTGAGAGCAACAAGAAAGACAATTTTTAAAAATTTACTTGAAAGACTTTACAAAGTAAAAATTACTGAACTAAGATTTGAGAGAAGATCAAAGAGATAAAGATGACATTTGGCATTGCTTTCCACCCAGGGATTCTAAAAAAGATTACTGAGCGGCTGGGAAACTTTGATGTGTTAGAGGTACAAAAGTGAGATCAGGCACCATTATGTTTAAACCTGATAAAATCACCTTGTTTTGGGTTAAGGGAGTGGTTCTCAAGTACCAGGGACATTTGGCAATGTCTAGAGACATCTTTGATAGTCAGGACTGGGAAGGGATGCTGTTAGCATCTAGTGGGGAGAGGCCAGGGAAACTCCTAAACTTCCTACAAGGCATAGGACATCCCTTCCACAATAAACAATTATCAGACAGAAATTTCAATAGTCCTGAAATAAGGCGATACCAGATGGCTAGTGCTCTCAAGTGCCTGGAACAACAGCAGCACAATCCTTTCTGGAGGTATATAATGTCATCCTACATCTGTACAAACAAACCAATTTTTCAAATAAAATTTCTGTCACACAAGGATAAACCAGCATACAAGGAAACAACAATCATGAATGAGAATTAGTAGGAAACATGCTCAATAGAACAAAACATGCACAGGCTTGACATATTGAAGCTATCAGCTTGCAATGTTCAGGGAGAAAAAATGAAAAGATTGGAAATTTTGGCAAAGAACTGAAAACCATGAAAAGATTACAGGGCAAATTTGGGAGAAAGAAAAATTCTAGAACCAAAAAAATGCAGTAATCCCAATTAAGAATGCCCAGGATGGGCCAGGCACGGTGGCTCACGCCTGTAATTCCAGCACTTTGGGAGGCCGAGGCGGGCGGATCACGAGGTCAGGAGATCGAGACCATCCTGGCTAACACGGTGAAACCCCATCTCTACTAAAAATACAAAAAAATTAGCCGGGCGTGTTGGCAGGCATCTGTAATCCCAGCTGTTGGGGAGGCTGAGGCAGGAGAATGGCATGAACCCAGGAGGCAGAGCTTGCAGTGAGCCGAGATTGCGCCACTGCGCTCCAGACTGGGTGACAGAGCGAGACTCCATCTCAAAAAAAAAAAAAAAATGCCCAGGATAGGTGTTACAGCAAATTAGAAATAAAGTAATAGAGAATTGGTAAACTGAAAAGCAGGTCTGAAGAAACAATCTAAAATGAAACTCAAAAGAGATGAAACATTGAACAGAAGGTAAGAAATGTAGAGGATACAGTGAGAACAGAAGTAGTAAAGCTATATTAGCAGGGTTGATGGCAAAATGTTCCAAAACTAAAGCAAAGCATCAGCCAACAGATTCAGGAAGCTGCCGGAAACCCAAGCAGTATAAAGGAAAAGAAATTCACTCCTAGATGCATCTTAATTAAACTTCAGGAAAACAGAAACAAAAATAAAATCTTAAAGGCATCCAGGGAAAAAAAGACATTAAAATCAAAGAGTTGTTATACAGGTTGAGCATCCCTAATCTGAAATGCTCCAAAATCTGAAACTTTTGATCACTGATATGATGTTATATGTGGAAAATTCCACACCACCTCATGTGATGGGTTGTAGTCAAAATGCAGACGCACAACCTCAGTTTATTCAGGATTTCCAAGGGAAAACAGACCCTCCAGCCATTTAAAAATAGCCATGCAGCAGAATGCCTCCTCATTCCTGGAGGACCCACTTCCTCGTCTCTCAACTGCTTCTAATGTTTCTTCTCATCTAGAAAGGTAAAATTCAGTGTATAGTAACCTTTTCATCGAAACACACATCAAAAGTAGAGATTGAAAACTTGCCGTTCTTTGTGGTTGCTATTGTTTAAAAACTGATACAGGTATTCTGGTGACGCTACTGTGCTGCTTAGTTACCCTGAACATTATTTTTTCACTGGATTCATGGTACCTCCTAGTTTTTACTGTTGGGTACTTGTGTGAGTAAGTGTAAGAAAATGATTGCTTCTCAGTTGCATATAAATTCAGTCAGTAAAGATGGTGATGCCAAACAATGACAGATTGTCCATACAGGTGGCTGAAATAATGGCACCTGTGCTTTCTGATGGTTCAGTGTAAATAAACTTTGTTTCATGCACAAAATTATTAAAATATATACAATTACCTTCAGGCTATGTGTTTAAGGTATATATAAAACAAATGAATTTCACATTTAGACTTGGGTCTCATCCCCAAGATATCTCATTATATATGTGCAAATATTCCAAAATCCAAAAACATTTGAAATCTGAAAAACTTGTAGTCCCAAGTATTTTGGATAAGAAAAACTCAACTTATAGTAGGATGGTAGATTTAAACTCATATTTGTAATTATGTTAAAAGTAAATAAATTATATACCCCAATTAAAAGACAAATTCTGTGAGAATGGATTTCTTGGGAAGACCAAAAATCTTTACAGCTACTGATGGGATATACAAAGATTCAGAAAGGGTGAGAGTGAAAGGATAAAAAGTGTATAAATATACCATTTAAAGTTACAAAAACTAGATCATTAGCTGATTTCTCAAGTGAAAGCATGAAATTCAGAAGATAATTATATGATTTATTCAGTGTTCAAATGACACACACACAAAAGAGAAAATTTGTCACCTGAAGCCCTGCCCTAAATTGATATAGCTACATTAATATTCACTAAAGTATACTTTAAGAAAAAAAGCATTACATTAATAGGAACACTTCACATTAAGAAAAGGCTTCACTTACTCGGAAGATAAAACAATTTCATTTTTTATTTATGTAATGGCATAGTCTCTGAATATTTAATAGAAAAATAGAATTATAAGGAGAAACAGAAAAAGCCACCCAACACTGTGGGAGTAACTGACAGGTCACACGGAGAGAAATTAGAAGGAAGTAGGATCATGAACACCATGATTAATAAATCGACCTAATCTACATATATAGAACACAACACTCAACAACTCTTTAAGCACATACAAATGTTTACAAAAATTGACTATGTGTTAGATCGTAAGGCAAGTCTCAACGAATTTAAAATAACTGAAACTATAAAATATGTTCTGTGAAAGCAAAGCAATTAAAATGGAGATAAATAGCTTTTTAAACTAGAAAATTTCTACATTTATAAACAGTAAGAAACGTTCTTCTAAATGACCAGTGGGTAAAAAGAAATCGCAATGAAAATTTAAAAATATTTTGAGCTGAGAGATAATATTTTTCGTGGAAAAACTTGCGTAATAGAGCAAAATCAGTGTTTAGCAGGGAAGTTATAATCTTAAGTGTATAATTACAAAACAAGACAAAATATTAATCTCAAGAAATTAGGCATGCTATAACAAAACTACCTTAGGGGGAAAAAAGAAATTAGACAAATAACAACATGTAGAATCAAAAGAAAGGGAAGAATGAAATAATTAAAGTAGAAAACAGAATTAACACCAAAAGATGATTTTTTAAAGTCTAATAAAGTTTTTAAACCGTTGGCAAGACTAAGTCAAATGAGAGCATGAGAACGAATATCAGAAAGCAGGAACAGAAGACACCAAAAAAAATGGAAAAATATTTCATGTTCATAAAAGGGAAGAATTAATATTGTTGAAATGTCCAGACTACCCAAAGCAATCTACAGATTCAGTGAAATTCCTATCAAAATACCAATGACATTCTTCAGAGAAATAGAAAAAACAATCCTAAAATTTATACAAAACCACAAAAGACCCAGAATAGCCATAGCTATCCTAAGCAAAAAGAATAAAACTGGAGGAATATATTACCTGACTTCAAATTATACTAGAGAGCTATAGTAACCAAAACAGCATGGTACTGGCATATAAACAGACACATGAACAGTGGAACAGAATAGAGAACCCAGAAACAAATCCACACACCTACAGTGAACTCATTTTTGACAAAGGTGCCAGGATCATACACTAGGGAAAAGATAGTCTCTTCAATAAATGGTGCTGGAAAAACTGGATATCCGTAAGCAAAAGAAGCAAACTAGACCCCCATCTCCTACTACATACAAAAATCAAATCAAAATTAATGAAAGATTTAAATCTAAGGCCTCATACCATGAAACTATTACAAGAAAACTTTTGGGAAAATCTTCAGGACATTGGTCTGGGCAAAGACTTCTTGAGAATTATCCCACAAGCACAGGCAACCAAAACAAACATGGGTAAGTGAATCACATCAAGTTAAAAAGCTTCTGCCCAGCAAAGGATACAACCAACAAAGTGAAGAAACAACCCACAGGATGAGAGAAAATATTTGCAAACTACTTCTCTGACAAGGGATTAATAACCAGAATATACGAGGAGCTCAAACAACTGTATAGGAAAAAATATAATAATCTGATCCAAAAATGGGCAAATTGAACAGACATTTCTCAAAGGAAGACATACAAATGGCAAACAGGCGTATGAAAAAGGTGCTCAACATCACTGATTATCAGAGAAATGCAAATCTAAACTACAATGAGCTATTATCTCACCCAAGTTAAAATGGCTTATATCCAAAAGACAGGCAATAACAAACGCTGGCGAGGATGTGGAGAAAAGGAAACACTTGTACACTGTTGTTGGGAATGTAAATTAGTAAAACCACTGTGGAGAACAGTTTGCAAGTTCTTTAAAAAACTAAAAATTGAGCTGCTATATGACCCAGCAACCCCACTGTTGAGTATATACCGAAAAGAAAGTAAACCAGTTTTGTTGAAGGTTTGTCTTCACTCTAGTGTTTGCTGCAGCACTGTCAGCCCTGTTTACAATAGCTAAGATTTAGAAACAACCTAATTGTCTATCAATAGATGAAGGGATAAAGAAAATGTGGTACATATACATGATGGAATACTATTCAGCTATACAAAAGGACAAGATCCAGTCATTTGCAACAACATGAATGGAATGGAGATCATTATTCCAAGTGAAATATGCCAGGCACAGAAAGACAAATATCACATGTTCTCACTTATTTGTGGGATCTAAAAATGAAATCAGTTGAACTCCTGGACATAGAGAGTAGAAGGATGGTTACCAGAGGCTCTAAGGGTAGTGTGGGGCCAGGAGGTGGGGAGGGGGTGAAGGTGGGAATGGTTCAAACAAACAAACAAAAAAAGAAATCAGGGTGAAAGAAGGGACCCATGGAACATCACTATAGAGCCTGTAGAAGATTAAAAAGATGATTTTAAAAACCTTTAACCCAACATATTTTAAAATTTAGATGAAATCGAAACATTCTTCTAAAAATATTCAATTCACCAAAACTAACAAAAAAATAGAATATCTGAATCTTTCTAAAATTATTAAACATAATCAAACTAAACCCAAAGCTTTCACTTAAAAAATTCATCAATCATTTAAGGAAGAGATTACATGAAACTTACACAAACTCTTCTCGAGAATAAAAAAGAAAGATGATCAAATAATCTTGATAATAAAATTTGATAAAGGCACATAACAAAGGAAAATTACAGGTGATTCTCAGTCATAAGCTTAGATCCAAAAATCCTAAACAAAATATTAGCAACCTGGGTTCAACTAATATATAAAAAGATGATATACCATGATTAAATTGGCTTTATAATTCCAGGAACTCAATGGTTTTGTTTAATATTGAGAAATCAAGCAATTTAATTCACCATGGTAACAGAGTAAAGAGGAAAAATTATCATCTCAATTGATGCTCCCCAAAAACATCGGATAAAATGCATCATGAATTAATAATGGAAAAATACTTTTACCAAACTAGAATAAATGCATCTGATAAATATGTATTCATAAAACAACCTAATTGAGCATTATGTTGAATGATGAAATACTGAAAGCTTCTCTTTGAGATTGAGAACAAGAGAAGAATGCTGCTATTATTATCTCTAATCACTGTTATGTTGAATGAAGATCCTAATCAGTGCAATAATCTAAGAGAAAAGATTAAAGTTGTAGAAATTAGAAAGGAAAAAATAAAACTTATTCACAGATAATATTGTATGCACACAAAATTTGAAATAATCTATAGACAAAGTGTTAGAATTAATAAGCACATAAGAGAGGTTTTGAATATAAGATAAACTATATAGTATATAAACACACACACATATATATATCTCAACAACCAACCACAAAATGTTTAAGTGCCATTTGGAATCACATATGAAGTATACACATGACTTCTACATAGAAAATTATAAATCACTATTGTGAGCAATTAAAAACCTAAACAAATAGAGGGATATAAGCATATTTATACATTGAGTATGTAGGATGTGTCTTAGTCAATTTGGGCTACTATAAGAAATTACCATAGGCTGGGTGTGGTGGCTCATGCCTATAATCCCAGCACTTTGGGAGGCCATGGCAGGTGGATTGTTTGAGCCCAGGAGTTCGAGACCAGTGTGGGCAACATGGTGAAACCCCATCTCTACAAAAAATACAAAAATTAGCTAGGCATGGTGGTGTGCACCTGTGGTCCCAGCTACTCAGGAGGCTGAGGTGAGAGGATCGCTTGAGCCTAGGAGGCAGAGGTTGCAGTAAGCCGTGATCAAACCACTGCACTCCAGCCTGGGTGACAGAGTGAGAGCCTGTCTCCAAAAAAAAGAAAGAAAGAAAAAAATTACCAAAAATGGTTTCTTAGTCTCTTTTGTGTTGCTATAATGGAATACCTGAGGCTGAGTGATTTATTTTTTAAAAAGGCTTATTTGTCTCATTGTTCTACAGGCTGTACAAGAAGCATGGCACCAGCACCTGCATCTGGCGAGA
This sequence comes from Homo sapiens, assembly GCF_000001405.40. NCBI lineage: Eukaryota > Metazoa > Chordata > Mammalia > Primates > Hominidae > Homo > Homo sapiens. The sequence goes on along the minus strand of NW_012132920.1, from coordinate 2,272,934 downwards.
GCCTCAGGCTGTTTCCACTTATGGTGGAAGGTGAAGGGGAGAGGAAGGAAGCAAGAGGGAGAAGGGGAAGGTGCCAGGATTTTTTTTTTTTTTTTTTTTTTTGAGACAGAGTCTCACTCTGTCTCCCAGGCTGGAGTGCGGTGGTGTGATCTCGGCTCACTGCAACTCTGCCTCCCGGGTTCCAGCGATTCTCCTGCCTCAGTCTCCCTCCTGGGCTGGGACTACAGGCGGGTGCCACCACGCCCGGCTAATTTTTGTATTTTTTAGTAGAGACTAGGTTTCACCATATTGGTCAGGCTGGTCTTGAACTCCTGACCTCGTGATCCGCCTGCCTCAGCCTCCTAAACTGCTGGGATTACAGGCGTGAGCCACTGCGCCTGGCAGGTGCCAGGATCTTTTTAACAACCAGCTCTTGTGGGAACTATTAGAGCGAGAACTCACCCAGAAGGAGGGCATTAATCTACTCATGAAGGATCCATCCACATGACCCAAACACCTCCCATTAGGCCCCACCTCCTACATTGGGGATCAAATTTCAACATGATGTTTGGAAGGAACAAATATCCAAATTATATCAGATGGGGAGGCTTAAACAATAAATATTTATTTCTCACAGTTTCTGGAGTCTGGAAGTCCAAGATCAGGGAGGGGACCAGCATAGTCAGGTTCTGGTAAGGACCCTCTTTCAGGGTGCAGACAACTGACTTCTCATATTCTCAGATGGTGAAAGTACGGTGAAAGAGCTATCTGATGTATCTTTTATAAAGGCACTTACCCCATTGATGAGGGCTTCATTCTCATGACCTAATTCCCTCCCAAATCACCTTCTAAAACCATCATATTGGGGATTAGAATTTCAGCATGTGAATTTTGGGGGGCCATAAACATTCAGTCCATTTCAGGATGTTAATTCGCCCCCCAACTAATAAATAGATTCGATGCAGTTGCATATTAAAATCCCAGCAAATATCATTGTAAAACTTGACAAGCTGATTCTAATATCTGAATGTAATTGCAAAGTGTCAAGAGTAGCCAAGATGATCTTGAAGAAGAGAACAAGTTTGTCAGAAATGTGTTCTACCAGATATCATGATTTTTTTGAAACTATATAACTACTATAACAGTGTGAATTTGGTACAAGGATAGACAAATAGAATACAATAAAGACTCCCCAAACAGACCTATATATAACTATACGATCTATTACACAAATGCCACTCTAGAGAAATGCAGAAAAGCTGTTGCAATGAATAGTTCTGGGATAATGGTACATTTATATAAGAAAAAACTTGACCTCTAGCTAATATGTACGTGCAAGTATCAGTTTCCAGGTGCTTTGTAGGTCTACATGTGAAAGCAAAGGAATCAAGTTTTTTAAAGACTGTATTCATGATTTGTGAAAGGAAAATATTTTTAATTAGGACACAAAAAGTTACCAACCATAAAATTGGATAAATTTTACTACATTAAAAGTAAGAACTTCTCTCCTATTAAGGTAAAGACTGGGAGAAGCTATTTGCTACATGGTTCTGATAAAGAACTGTCATCAGAATGTATAAAGAACTCATAAATTAATAAGAAAAGACCCCAACTAATAAAAGAATCAGCAAGAAACTACACAAAAGGAGATAGCCAAATGGCCAATAAATTTTTGGAAAGATACTCAACCTCATTACTGATCAGGGAAGACCATATAAAAATCACAATGAGATTAGCCAGGCACGATGGCGGGTACCTGTAATCCCAGCTACTCGGGAGGCTGAGGCGGAAGAATTGCTTGAATCCAGGAGGCGGAGGTTGCAGTGCGCTGAGATTGTGCCATTGCACTCCAGCCTAGGCGACAGAGACTCCGTCTCCAAAAAAAAAAAAAAAAAAATCACAATGAGATTATTAGTGTGATTTAATACACACCCACTGGAATGGTTGAAATTGAAAGAACCAACAACATCCAGCGTTGGTGAAAATGTGGCACAAGAAAATCCTCTGATGCTGTTGGAGGGAGTGTAAATTGAGACAATGACTTTGGAAAACACTTGGCATTATCCATAAAGCTGAGCAAACACACACCTTATAACCTAGCAAAATTCCACTCACAGGTAAAATGCTCAATGGGAGCAGATGCACTTTGGTGCGGAGATACACATACAACAATTTTTATAACAACCTTATTCATAATAGCCAAAACTAGAAATCTCTCAAATTTCCATCAAAAATAGAATATATTTTTAAAATTATGATATACTCACAGATGAAAATGTTATACAGGAATGAGACAAGTGCAAATAACAAATGGTTGAATCTCACCAACAAGGTTGACACACAAGATAATATGCCATGCAATTCCATTTACAGAAAATTCTGACAGGTAAACTATAATGTGCAGATATGCATACCGAGGTGATAAAACAATACAGAAGAGCAAAAAAGGGACCCGTGAAAGTTAGGATAATGGGTATTTGTGAGGGAGAAGGAGATGTGATTGGGTAGGAGCATGACTGGGTACATAATTGGACAGGCCCAGTGCAAAATGAATATATAAGATTCCTTGTTCATAAATTATTAGGAATTTTAAAACAGTTTCAGTAGAACACTAACCAAGGTGTGAGGTCTGCTAAGCACAGGATCCTGTCTCATGTCCATGAAGCCCTCCTGGCTCAGTACACTCAAAGGACCTCCACCGTGCTGGCGATGTTACAAAAGTCTTTGAAAATAATTCAATAAGCTCTGCTTCATTTTGTGTCTTTTTCTGTATATATATGATAAAGCATGATAAAGAAAGGACATTTTTTAAAGGACCAAAACAAAACAAAATACAGGAGCCATATTTTATTCCAATCCAAGGAGTTTTGGAGGCTAATGCAGATCAAATTATGCGGGGAAAAAAAAGAAGGAAGAAAGGAAGGAATGAAGGAAGGAAGGAGAGAGAGAGAGAAAAAAGAAAGAAAGAGAGGAAGGAGGGAAGGAATGAAGGAAGGAAAGAAAGAAAAAGATCCTAGGGCATTGGAAGGTTGGGGTACTGTCATAGCTCTCATTTATGACTTTAGGCAAGTCGCTTGACCTTTTAGAATCTTGGTTTCTCAATCTGCCAAATGTACATTCACCTCCCTACTTCACAAAGTTATAAGAATCAAATTATATCAGTAGCACTTTAGAAAGAACAAATGTCATACCCTATAAGATAGTGGCACTGGAGAATTCTATATGCTTTAAACTTCATGTTTATATATCCCTATGCTATGTACACCAGATGATTTCAATTTACAGTGGTGTCTCCTGGTTACCTTCTTCATGTTTTGCTTTGGGCTAGGTCAAGGGATGGCAATTGAATTTCCAGGCCCCTTTGCAACCTCATGCGCATTTGAATTCCAGGATTGAAAGGCCAGACCCACATAAATTTGTTACTACGGCCATCTCTCCTGCACACAGAGTCTAAAGTAACATCCTGCTTCCTGCACACAGCACTGACACCACTCATTTCCATCTGGGTGATTGGGAGTCAGCGGGACAGCCTGTGTATTTGAACTAAGAAATCATGCTCATTCTCAGGAAGTGAATAAAAAGAGGGATTCTGGTCCTTTAGGATAAAATCCTGTAGTCCCCTGTACAATTCTTTCTCAGGCCCAAAGTTACATAAGTAATTTTGATCATGTAGTCAGAACCTGTATGGCATTCATTCCACATATTGAAAGTCTTCATTCAGATAGGATGAATTTTTCTGAAAAGCAGAAAAATATAGAGAAGAAGCAGGTAACCCCCAGGTCTGAAAGGACACCTTGAAACAGTCATTTTAAGAGACCTCTATTCAAAACATGAGCAAATCCAGCCACATCTGCACTTCCACCACTGTGTGTGAGTATATCTCCATGTAGAGTTGTTCAGATAGATTGTTGCAGGTGCTGACTTCACAGATCTTTTTTAAGTGCTTTTGCTACCATATTGTCTGTAATACCCTTGGGTATACAGATTGGGTCTTATAGTTTCTTCATATTTCTTCAAAACCTCTAGGGGAGTCCTTTGTGAGCACTAAGAAAATATCCTAGGGAGACTTGAGTGTCAGTGCAGTGAGGGTCTGTGTTTCCTCCCAAATTTATACCCACTTCAGACTATTATTTAGGCTTCTGAAGAGCCTCTCTTGGGAGCCATCCCCATCAGACTTAAAAGCTTCAGCTGTGGCCATAGTTTATATTTTAGAACCATAAAGTGGAAAGAAATGCTTTATGGCCTAATACCTGATATCCAAGGAATTGATTGAAAACTGACTGGAAAATCTGATAGATGTGTTGACACAAAGGGGCACACCGAACTCTGCTTTCATGCTGCAAAGGTGAGCTGCACCACTGGCACAGAAAAAAATAAAATCAGCCTTTGCTGTTTGTTTTTTCAGTCCTCACCTCAATGACTGCTTTCATGGCTTGTCTTTCCACTAGAAGTTCATAGGGGATTCCTGAGGAGAAGAATCAGAATTGTGCTGTAATGGCAGCATGTGTTTGCAAACGCTTCTTACAGACAAAACCTCTGGTCCTCATAGTACACAGGTGGAGAGGCAGAGTGTAGAGTGAGTCTTACTAAGTGGACAGAAGGAGGGAAGAGGCGGGGCACAGTGGCTCACGCCTGTAATCCCAACACTTTGGGAGGCCAAGATGGGCGGATCACCTGAGGTCAGGAGTTCGAGACCAGCCTGGCCGACATGGTGAAACCCTAACTATACAACTAAAAATACAAAAATTAGCCAGGTGTGGTGACAAGCGCCTGTAATCCCAGCTACTCGGGAGGCTGAGGCAGGAGAATCTCCTGAACCCAGGAAGTGGAGTTTGCAGTGAGCTGAGATCGCGCCACTGCACTCCAGCCTGGGTGAGAAGAACAAAACTACGTCTCAAAAAAAAAAGAGAGAGAGAGAGAGATAGAAGATGTCAGGAGATCTGAGTCACAGTATTGCCTTTGTCTCCAACCAGTCACAAGGCTTTCCAGTACTCGTGGACCCCTTGGGCTCGGCTTCTTCATCCTAAAGTATGAAGGACAGTGCTGCCCTGGCTCCCTTACAGTGCGGTTATTTGGCTCCAATAACATTCTGTTTGTAGAAGGACTTTTTAATTTAATAGAATGTTAGGCCAATCTGAGTTTACCTACTCTTCCAGAAGAGAAAATAGATGAAGAGAAGCCATGATTTACTCAAGGTCACATAGCTGCAGTGAAAACATGATGTATTGAGACTTGAACCCTTTCTCCTGCTACGGAACTGGTGTTCTCTAGAGCAGGCTCACATCTTGGGGCAATTGTCCGTGGTTTGATCCACTTGAGGGCAAAATCGTGGCCAAATGTTTTTACAGATTCAGTTGAATGCCTCATCAGTAGTATTCACTGAAGATTAATTAAAGGAGACTGGCACAGTGGCTCATACCCTTAATCCCAGCACTTTGGGAGAGCGAGGCAAGTGGATCGCTTGAGGCCAAGAGTTCGAGACCAGCCTAGCCAACATGGTGAAACCCCCATCTCTACTAAAAATACACAAATTAGCTGGGCGTAGTGGTGTGCACCTGTAATCCCAGCTACTCAGGAGGCTCAGGCAGGAGAATTGCTTGAACCCTGGAGATTGAGGTTGCCGTGAGCTGAGATCACACCATTGCACTCTAGACTGGGTGACAGAGTAAGACTCTGTTGCAGACAAAAAAAGGAGATTTCCAAATGCCATTTACCTTCTGTCAATGGGATGAGATTGGGTTCAGATATTTGCATCTTCACCATCAACAGAATGAATGAAATCAAACTCTTGGCCTCGTCATCTGATTGCCCGACACAGGCTGCATCAACAAGGACAGGAATAAAACTTTAACTGGGATGAAAGTCATAGAGGACTTAGAGAAGGAAGACATTCTGATTTGGTGTATTTCATTTAAATCAGATTCTTCTGCTTTACTGCTTTGCTAATAGGGTTGTTCTGCGAGGATTTTTTTTCACATATCTGGCTGGGACTTGGAGCGGGAAACTTCATTTTGAAGAACTGGAAAAAAAAAATCCTGCCCCCAAGTAAGCCAACTTTGTTTCCTTACAGAGAAATGTGCATGAGACTTTGCCTAGCACTTCTCATAAGCTACTGGTATTTTTTTGGCTTCCATTGAACCATCCCAGTTGCCTATATATAGCCCTGTCTTGTGTAAAGAATTTAAAAAGCATTAGAATGCAGAAATCAAAGAGACAATAAATTTAAAACCAATCTTATTGTCTGCAGCCTAAAGTGTTATTCAGATCAAAGGGGAGGGGACATCTGGCTTCTGGCTTGCTACAAAAGGCAGATCATGTTACCTACCAATTGCTGAATTCATCCACTCTCATTTTTGGTGTCTAGAGAACATGGCTTTTTCAGCTCCCACTTGAGGCATATTGGGTGAATCAGCCAAACCTCCCGACACTCTCAAAAAGAAACAAGCTCTACAGGATCACATAAAAATGTACTGATGAGTTTGTTCCTGTGCCTCTTTGGTCATCTGTGAGTGCTTCAAGAACCCAAAGCCACGGCCATGTTGTCGTCACATGGCCCCGTCCACTGACCCCTCCTGTATAGGCCCATCCCCCAAAGCTAGAACTTTCTGGTTTGCAAAGCTAACTTAGTTGAGGAGACACATCCGTGTTAGATTATTTGACTCTGTTTTTGCCCAAATCACAATGTGAGACTGAGTCACCAAATACGTAGTTGAAAACTTGTGTGCTTCCTTTCTCCCATTTTGGTTATAAAAACATAGATTTGTCTTACCATACATTTTTTTCTAATGGAAGCTTTGAAAGCAAGGTCAATTGTGCTCTTCGACTAGGAATTTGCTTAATGTCTGTATAAATTGTATACATGGCTGGGCACGGTGGCTCACACCTGTAGTCCTGGCCCTTTGGAAGGCCAAGATGGGCGGATCACCTGAGGTCAGGAGTTCGAGACCAAACTGGCCAACATGGTGAAACCCCATCTCTGCTAAAAATACAAAAATTAACTGGGCACCATGGGAGGCACCTGTAATCCCAGCTACTTGGGAGGCTGAGGCAGGAGAATCACTTGAACCTGGGAGGCAGAGTTTGCAGTGAGCCGAGATCGCGCCATTGCACTCCAGCCTGGGTGACAGAGCAAGACTCTGTCTCAAAACAAACAAACGAACAAAAATATAGACATGATTCAATTTAAAGGCCTTTCTTAATATCCACAACCAGAAACAGCGCACATGGCTCTGACTTCATTTGTTATAATGAACAAATCGCAAAAACGCAGGATAGGATTATTTTTTCAGACTGTTTCAGAGACAGCAATCAAAGAAGGAAGCGCCACAATTAACAATATTTTCCAATTACTCAGTACTTCCTCATTACAACGCTCACTAATTCCTCACTCCAAAAAGTCTAGAAAGGAATGCAGACAATGGCAATATGGATTCTGTATTTAGAATATCACATAGAGCTCTTGGCAGCATTCTTTGACTACTGACATGGTTCACTCATTCTCCAATATAGTGGATAAGGTTTCTATTAAAGGGCTTCACAAATTGCTATGCTGCTCAGTCCCACTTGTATATTTCCCTTCCATTGCAATTTCCTTCTACTGATTTTGGTTCTCTACTTGCCTAGGGACCTTCTGGAAACTTACAAAACAAATCAAAATTGTCTCTTTACTTACTACCTCAGCCTTTTCCTCTCCTCACCTATTTTCACCTACCTTAATCTTTCAGGGAAAACTTTCACTGCCAGCCAAAAGTTAAAAAAAGAAAAATCACCAAGAGATTTTGCATCATCCTAGACTGATCGTCTTCTCCAAAAGACATGATTCTCTTCCACAATCTTAATTCATTATTCACTAAGCATACCCTTTATTGCTGATGAAAGACTTTCATTCACAAATACAAGGAATCTCAGGTGAGAGGTAAAAATTAGTGAGGAGATCTTAATTTGATTGCAAGACAGGTTTCAGGGTAGAAGAATATTTTAGAGTCTTCAGTTCCTGGAGGGAGTTGGAATTGAGATTTTTCCATCTAGTATTTCATCACCACTAATGGCTCGTTACTTCTATTTTGAGAATAGTGTCCAGCTTCCCTTGAGTCATGGGTGAGAATTTGGTATGGATGTGGCATTCAATTGTTAACAGTGTGTCTGGAAAGGAGGTGACTAGTTAAAATGTTTAATAAAATACAAAAGAATAGACCAGCAGGGAATAAAATAGCTCTTCCAGTCTTCCTTCCAACAACTGGAACGGCAAGTTTTCGGTGTCAAGTATCAGGGCAAGAAATCCAAATAAAATATTCTTTAACACCCACCTCTATTCTGTTCCCTTTTTCCTTGACAAACAGAGCCTCTCTCTGGAGCTCAATGCCACATTCCATAAACTTTTCTGTATGCCTTCCTGCTCTCAAAAAAAAGCCAGAAGTGGGGTTGTACATATCCTCACTACTAACTACTAAAAGAAAAACTTAATGATTTTCTTAATGAGGGTGTTAACATAAAATAACCTGTGGCTCTGAAAAGACTCAAGAATGCCCCCAACCAGGCTCTGCTCATTATATCTGTGTATTTATGGTAGATACAATAGCAAAAATGTTTTGTATTCCTCCATTAGAGAGCCGGGATTTTATTTTGACAGACATATAATTCTTCTCAGATTTCTAAAAAGTGGGCCTTTTTTCTACCCCTGCCCTCTTCCATCCTTCCATAAAGTGTAATCAATAAAGCCAAATTTTGGCAGAAGAGAAAGAAAGTGAAAAGCAGAAATGAATGTCTAATAATTGAAAGCATCATGGACTCCATTATGGTTTATGGCCTTGTTCTAGGGGTCGGATGAGCACACTGTAAAGAATGTGGCACTAAATTTATTAGCATGGTTATCATCTTTCAGACAAGACATAAAGCTGAGGGGACCCACTTCTTCCATCACCTGCCATCACTATAGATCCCATGGCACCTTCTATAAGAAGAGTCGAGTTATCCTGGCCCAGATCCAGATTCAACTATTTGATGACTTATATTTCCTTTGTAGTATGCCTGGGAGACATTATGGGCTCTTCTTCTTTGAAACTCTGTCACTACCATAAGCACAGCCAAAATGGCTCCAGCGAAAGGATGTAAGAGAAAAATTCTCACATCCTAGCATGTGGATCAAGTGAACAGATTGAACAGTGTGGCCTGAAGTACGAAGCTGAGCCATGCCTGGTCTGACCCACTCCACCATGACTGCTCACGTATATCAAAAATCCTAGATTGTGAATGGGCTACATCAATGCTATACAAATTATGGGTTTTCTGAACTCCACGCATTATATCCTTCTCTCAAAAAAGTTTTGAAAAGAAAAGACAGGTAAGTTGTATTTTCTGACTTGCCCTTATTATCTTGAGACTTAATCCCCAAACATTCTCCTAAAGTATTTAAAAGAAAGCAAATCACTCATGAGGCATTAGGCAAATCATTTTATTTATCTAATTTCAGCTTGTTTACCACTAAAATAGGGGTCATTTAAATATCTATCTTGCCTTTCTCTCAAAATTAATGAGAACCAAACAAAATGATGTGTGTCAAAGTACATTTTGTTCTTATTTTAAAGCAATCTACGAAATCAAGTTTTTAACAAGTAACAAAGCAGACAATGCCAGGATTGGAGATGTGGAGAGTGAATGGGAGGAAACGGGAATGAATAGTGCAACAGCTCCTTCTGTGGCACAGAGCATTCATTTCTGTCTACAAAATGGAGCTCCGGATCTGCTGGAAGATAAGTTATCTCTGCTATATGCTAAGGTCCTGCCTCTACAGAACCAGTTTGGGTGCTTGATTGTACAGATGCAGGATAACACTGCATTGTTATCCTGCATCTGTACAATGTACAAAGAGAGTAACATTGTTTTGCTTGAGTTAAGTGACGATTTATGAATTCACTAGATTAAAAGCAATAAACAATAATATCTGAAACTTTCTTTTTTTTTTTTTTTTTTGAAGCTGAGTCTCACTCTGTCGCCCAGGCTGGAGCGCAGTGGCGTGATCTCGGCTCACTGCAAGCTCCGTCTCCCGGGTTCACGCCATTCCCCTGCCTCAGCCTCCCGAGTAGCTGGGACTTCAGGCACCTGCCACCACACCCGGCTAATTTTTTGTATTTTTAGTAGAGATAAGGTTTCACCGTGTTAGCCAGGATGGTCTCGATCTCCTGACCACGTGATCCGCCTGCCTCGGCCTCCCAAAGTCTGGGATTAACAGGTGTGAGCCACCGCGCCCAGCCCTGTCTGAAACTTTCTTAATGACTCAGATGTAGATACTGGTTAGGGCACTTTGGTTGCAAGTGATAGAAACCCAATAGAAGCTAAGCCAAAAATGGAATTTATTGATTCATGTAACTGAGAGTGTAATTAAAAAAAAAGGCCACAGATTTTTGGGTGCTTCTCCATTCAAGAGGTGAAGCCCAAATACCCTCATCTTAGATGTGGGCAAATTTAGTGACTTGCTCTAACAAATAAGATAAAGCAAAAGTAAAGGTTTGTAACTTTGGAGAGTAAGTCATGAAAGGCACTGTGCTGTCATGGCTGTCAATCCTTGCTGTCTCTTGGATTAGTCACTCTAGAGGAAGCCAGTTACTAAGTCGTGAAGAGAGGTTCACATGGTGAGGAACTGAGGAACTTGCTAATACGGTTCCTAAAAATCCTTGCAGAACTGCTAATAGGGTTGTTCTGCAAGGATTGTTTTTCACATATCTGGCTGGGACTTGGAGCGGGAAACTTCATTTTGAAGAACAACTGGGAAAAAAAAAAATCCTGCCCCCAAGTAAGCCAGCTTTGTTTCCTTACAGAGAAATGTGCATGAGGCTTTGCCTAGCACATTTGGCCTCCAACCAACAGCCACGTGAGTACACCACATTGAAAGTGCGTCTCCAGCCCCAGGCAAGCCTTTAGATAATTGCAGCCCCCTACTGACACCTTGCCTACACACTCACCAGAGATTCTGACCCAGAACCACCCAGATTAGTCACTCCTATATCTATATCAGAAATGCATGAGATAATAGATGTTTGTTGTTTTAAGCTACTAAATTTTGGCATAATTTGTTACCAAGCAATATATAAGTACTATAGGATACTTCAAAAGTTGGCTTGACTTCAGACATGGCTCAATCCAAGAAAAAAATTCATCAGGATATCCTCTTCCCTTTACAGCTCTGATTTTCTGTGAATGGAGGCTTCATCCTTCAGATAGTTTCATCCATATACCTGGGAAAGGTGGCTGCCAGCAGATATTGGCCTACAGGCTTATTATATATAACTTGTCATCCTAGAGAAAGAAAAAAATCTTTCTTCCAGCCTCTATATTCAAATCTTAAGGAATATATTATGGGCTTTCTTTGAGCTTCAAGTCCATTTCTAAAACCAATCATGGTGGCCAAATGGAATGAGCATTCTGATTTGCCAAAGTGGTCTCATGTCACCCCGTGTCTTCTGTTCCATAGATTGCCTTTTCATTCAGTTGGTCGTTTGCTGTGCAGAAACATTTTAATTTGAGGTAGTCCCATTTGTCTATTTTTGTTTTTATTACCTGTGCTTTTGTTGTTATGTACATGAAATCATTGCCAAGGGCAATGTCATGAAACTTTCTCTTCTGTTTACTTCTAGGAGTTTTACTGTTTCAAGTCTTACATTTAAATAATCCATTTTGAGTTGATTTTTGGTATAAGATAGGGTCCAATTTTATTCTTTTGCATGTGGATATTCAGTTTTCCCAACACCATTTGTTGAAGAGATTATCATTTCTCCCACTGAGTATGCTTGGCACCATTGCCAAATGTCAGTTGACTGTATATTCACGGATTTGTTGCTGAGCTCTCTATTCTGTTCTATTGGTCTGTGTGTTTGTCTTTATGCTGGTAACATACTGTTTTGATTACTGTACCTTTGCAGGATATTTTGAAATCAGGAAGTATAATGCCTCCAGCTTTGTTCTTCTTTTTCAAGATTGATTTGTTTATTCATTGTCTTTTGTGGCTTCAGATGAATTTTAGAATTATTCTATTTCTGTAAATAAAAATGCCACTGGGATTTTTGATGGGGATTGCATGAATCTATAGATCACTTTGGGTAATATGGGCATTTTAAGAATATTAAGTCTTACAACCCATGAATACATGATGACTAAATCATGAAGAAATACAAAGACTGGACAGACCTATGACTAGCGTAAAGATTGAACAAGTAATCAAAAAACTCCCAGTAAAGAAAATCCCAGGACCAAATAATTTCACTAGTGAATTCAACCAAACATTTAACAAAACTAATGCCAATTATTCTCAAACTCTTCCAAAAAAATCAAAGAAGAGAGAACACTTTCTAACTTATTTTATGAAGCCAGAATTACCTTTATACTAAAGCCGGACAAAGACACCACAAGAAAAGAAAATTACAGCCCAATATCCTTGATGAATATATAGATGCAAAAATCCTCAACAAAATACTGGCAAACCAAATTTAACATTATATTAAAAGGATCAAAGACTATGACAAAGTGGGATTTATTCCTAGGATGCAAGTATGCTTCAAGATATGAAAATTAGTTAATGTGATAATCCATTAACAGAATAAAGGATAAAAATTACATAATCATTTGATGGATGTAAAAAAGGTTTTGACAAAATTTAACACACTTTCATGAGAAAAACATTCAATAAACTAAGAATAGAGGAAAAGTACCTCAACCTAATAAAGGTCATATATATTTTTAAAAACCCATAACTAACATTATACCGAATAATGGAAAACTGAAATGTTTTTCTTTAAGACCAGAAACAAGGCATACATGCCCACTCTCATCACTTCTATTCAATTTAGTGCTGGAAGTCCTAGCTAAAGCAATTAGGCAAGAAAAATAAATAAAAGACGCTCACGTTGAAAACAAAGGGTAAAATTGTTGCTGTTTGCAGATGACATAATCTTATACATAGAAAACCCTAAAGACTCCATCAAAAAACTGTTAGAACTAATAAATTCAGTAAAGTTGGAGGATACAAAATCAACATACAAAAATCAATGGCATTTCTATACCAACGATGAACTATCTTAAACAAAAATTAGGAAAACAATGCTATTTGTAATAGCAGCAAAAAAAAAAAAGACCCTGGAATAAACTAAGAAAGTGAAAGGTCTGCATACTGAAGACTACAGTACTTTGATCTGTTACTGTTCCCCAATATCATAAAAACAAGGCTTAGATACTGTTTACTAAAGGATTTTATTATCTCCTATATTTATAGCTGAAATCACTTTCTCTGTTCTGTTCCCCTTATTTGTCACTAAACAATGTAGCATGAATCTGTTGGAATGAGCTTCCTTGCCTTCCAGACCATTCACTTTAAATATATCAATCCTCACCCCTTAAGTATAGACATTTATTACTACACCACAGTGAACAAAAAACATTAAATGTGGAAAAGGCTTTTAAGTAGATATTTGTTATTTTTGACTCCTTGTATCTCTTTTCCTTACAACTATTTTTTTTCAACTACTTTCCCCCTATCCCATGTGGTGCCATCCAGTCTTCTTATCACCATGCTTTTCATCTCCTGTTTCCTTTCTAGGCACAGGGGTAACATGAGACCACACTGGCAAATCAGAATGCTCATTCCGTTTGGCCACCATGATTGATTTTAGAAATGAACTTGAAACTCAAGCTAAGTCCATAAGAATTTTCCTTAAGATTTGAATATGGAGGCTGGGAGAAAGATATTTTTCTTTCTCTAGGATGACAACTTATAATATGCCTGTAGGCTTTGGGATCACTTTTTTATGACCTTTGGGCTTCTTGGATCAGAATGTTCATTTTCTTCCTCATATTTGGGAAGTGTTCAGCCATTATTTCTTTGAATACGTTCTCAGTTCTTTTCTCTCTTTTATTCTGTGATGCCAATAATGAGTATATTGTTCAGCTTGATGTTGCCCATAAGACCCTTGGGCTTTTTTTCACTCTTTTTCATTTTAATTTCTCCTCTAACTGAATTATTTCCAATGACCTGTCTTCAAGTTCATTGATTCTTTCTTCTGATTAATCTTGTCTCCTGTTGATGTCCTGTCATAAATTTTTTCAGTTCAGTTGTTGTGTTCTTCAGTTCCATTTCTTTTTGGTACTTTTAAATATACTCTATCTCTTTGTCAAAATTCTTAACTTTTTTCATGCATTGTTCTCTTGACTCTGGTGAGAATCTTTATGAGAGCTATTCTGAATTCTCTGTCAGGTAAATCACATAAGTTTATTTCATTAGCTCAGTTTCCAGAGATTTATCTTGTTCTTTGGTTTGGAACATCTTCGTATGATTATTCATTTTCCTTGACTCTTTGTGTTGGTGTCTGCACATTAGACAAAGCAGTCACCTGTCCCAGTCCTCACAGCTGGGCCTCAGAGGAGAAGACCCCCACCAATAAGTCTGCCCAGTGATTTGGGGGCCTTTAACAAATCATTCCTTCTCCAGGGAAATGTAGGTAGCCATGATTTTTGTCCTGTCTGTGCTGAGCCAGGAGGTGAGGCAGTAGAGGGCAGGGTGCCATGTCATCTACTGGTCTAAACCTCTGTCTCTGTCCTTCCCCAGGTAGCTAGATAGTACCAATTCTGTCAGAGCTCCAAGACTGACAAGATAGAAGCCAGTCCTCTGGGAATCTCCTCAGAAAAGTTGGAGGTCTTGGATATGTGAACCAACTCCTCTCACCTGGGAGAAACTGAGTGCTAGGGAGTCTCTTGCTGACTACATGGCACTGTGCTGGGGTTAGGGATTCGGACAAGGTGGTATCTCAAATCTCTCTACCAGCTTTGGTGAGTCTGGTTTTTGCATTTGCTGGGAGTGCAGGAGCCTTTTAGTTTCTGGATTCCTCACAAAGGAATTTAGCCATGAATTTTTGCAGAATAGATGTGTTTGTGGATTGAAGAAGGGTCCAGCATTTGCTAATACAACATCTTGCTGATGTCACCTGCCCCATTATCCAATTATTTTAAACTTCTGCTCAGTAAACTTGTTGGTGCCAGAGGAAGAAGCAAACATTTATAATCCCCTAGGTGGTAATCACTATCAGGATTATAGAAAAAGGTTTAGGGCTGCTGCCTTAATTCAGGCCTTATCTTTTCTCATTTAAACTGTTTGCAACCAGACTAAGGTGTTGAGTTTAGGAATGCACACTTCAGTGATGAAACTATAAATATAAACAAGGAGGTAATTGCTTTAAGCTTTAGGAGAATTATAACTGTAGTGGTACAGAAAAAGATTAAAATTGAGGTGGGGTATAAGGAGAGTTTCTGTGAAGCATGGAAAAATTTCTTCCCCTAATGGTAATTACAGGGGTATTTGCCTTACAACAATTCTTTCAGGGTAGCAGTTCTTTTGTAAATTCCTTAGGATTTCTACATACAATATTATGTCATCTGAAAATTGAAATTATTTTATTTCTTTTCTAATCTGGATGACTTCTTTTTCCTTTTTTTGCCTAATTGCCCTAGCTAGAACCTCCAGAACAATATTGAATAAAAATAGTGACAGCAGATATCCTGTTAGTTCCTGTATGGGGAAAGCTTTCAGTATTTTTGTTGTTTGTTTTGTTTTTGAGACAGAGACTTACTCTGTCATGTAGGCTGGAGTGCAGTGGTACAATCTTCTGGGCTCAAGTGATCCTCATGCCTCAGCCTCCTAAGTAGCTGGGACAACAGGTGCATGTTACCACACCTGGCTAATTCCTTTTTAAATTTTTAGTAGAGACAAGGTCTCACTATATCGTCCAGGCTGGTCTCAAACTCCTGTGCTCAAGTGATCCTTCTGCCTCAACTTCCCAAAGTGCTGGGATTATGGGCATGAACCACCATGCCCAGCCTGGTGTATGTTATGAAACCAGGAAGTGTGAGTTCTCCAACTTTTTAAAATCTTTTTTAAGATTATTTTGGCTATTGTGGATCCCTTTCAATTTCTTATGAATTTTAGGATTAACTTGTCAATTTCTTAAGCCACCTGGGATTTTGATAAGAATTGTATTGAATCTGTAGAGCAATGTTAATTTTTTTCATCCATGAACACAGGTTTTATTTCCATCTATTTTGATGATTTTAAATTTTTTAACAATGTTTTATTGTTTTCAATGTACCAGTCTTGCACTTCCTGTTACATTTTTTCTATGTATTTTATTCTTTTTGATACTATTCAAAGGGTGCTATTTTCTTAATTTTATTTTCAGATTTTTCATTACAAGTGTGTAGAATACAATTTATATCTGTATGTTGATCTTGTATCCTGCAACCTTGCTGAAATCATGTATTAGCTCTAATAGTTCTTTTGTAAATTCCTTAGGATTTCTACATACAATATTATGTCATCTTAAAATTGAAATCATTTTATTTCTTTTCCAATCTGGATGACTTTTTTCTTTTCTTTTTTTTTTTTTTTTTTTTTTTTTTTTTTTTTTTTTTTTTTTTTTTTTTGCCTAATTACCCTAGGTAGAACCTCCAGTATAATATTGAATAAAAATAGTGACAGCAGATATCCTGTTAGTTCCTCTTGGGGGAAAGCTTTCAGTCTTTCACCTTTAAGTATGATGTTAGCTGTGGGTTTTTCTTTTCTTTTTTTTTTTTTTTTTGAGACAGAGTTTTGTTCTTGTTGCCCAGGCTGGAGTACAATGGCGTGATCTCGGCTCACCAGAACCTCCACCTCCTGGGTTCAACCGATTCTCCTGCCTCAGCCTCCCAAGCAGCTGGGATTACAGGCATTTGCCACCACGCCGGGCTAATTTTTTGTATTTTTAGTAGATACAGGGTTTCTCCATGTTGGTCAGGTTGGTCTCGAACTCCTGACCTCAGGTGATCCGCCTGGCTCAGCCTCCCAAAGTGCTGGGATTACAGGCTTGAGCCACCATACCCGGCCAGCTGTGGGTTTTTCATAGATGCCATGTGTGAGGTTGAAGAAGTTCCCTTCTCTTCCTAGTGTGTTGAGTGATTTTATTACAAAGGGGTGTTGAATTTTGCCAAATGATTTTTCTGCGTGTATCGAGATGATTGTGTGGTTTCTGTCTTTATTCTATTAATATGATGCATTACACTGATGGTTAAATCAATCTTGCATTCCTGGGGCAAATCCCACTTGGTCAAGGTATATAATCCTTTCCATATGTTGTTGGACCCAGTTATCTAGCATTTTGTTGAATTTTTTTGCATTTACACTTAAAAGAGATATTGGTCTATGGTTTTATTTTTGATGTATTTGTCAGAATTTGGTATCAAGGTAATACTAGTTATAGAAAATAAGGTGGAAAGTGTTTCCTCCTCTTCCATTTCTGGAAGAGTTTGTGAAGAATTTGTACCAATTCTTCTTTAAATATTTGCTAACATTAATCAGTTAAGACATCCTAAATTGGGCTTTTCTTTCTGGGAAGTTATTTGATTGCTTATTTAATCTCTTTACTTGTGATAGCTCTATTCAGATTTTTATTTTTTCTTGAATCAGTTTCAGTAGTTTGTTTATTTATAGGTGTGGTGGACATCTGCATAAACAAGATGAAATGTCACCAAAATTTGGTTTAGATGCTGAGACTGATGATGTTACACACACCCCAAGAGAGTATGAAACATTTATTACTCACATGAGGCTTTTTGTGGAGAGCAGCTCACGTCTCCTAACCTGGTCTGAAAATGACTTGAGAGAGCCAGGAAAGGAGACTGGTTTGGGCTTTTTATGATGTTTAGAAAGTATGACTTGGATGAGGATTCCCACATGCAGGCAGGGCCATGCATGGTTTGATCGTACTGTCATTTCCCCAGGGTTTGTTGTTGTTTCTTTGTTTAATGACTTTTCTGAACTAATTCTGTAAAGTCTGTATTTTTTGTTGTGTGTGGACACTGAAGTCTCTGCTTGGTTAGTAGTCATCTAATAGTTGTACACGGATTTCCTCAAACACTTGGAATCAATAATTCAACCAGTCTCTGCCAAGGAGCTCTGTGTGAATGCTGAGGCACACTCAACACTCCGCCATGCAATTGACAACTCTGCATTCCCTTTACTTATGGCTTGTGCAGAGCCTCAAGATCAGCTTGAAGTGAGAGCTTAAGGCTTTCTTGGGTTTTTCCTGAGCATCTGCACAGTCCTGGGCATGGATGGAGTCCTATTTATGCATTTGGCAGTCTAGATTGCCAATAACACTTTGGAGCTTTTCAAAGTCCCTATGAAAATCTCTTTTTCCAGCTTCTCCTTTTAGGCTTTTTATTTAGCCAATTGCTTTCCCCAACTGTTATACATTACCCCAGGCAGCCACAAAGAGAATCAATTGCCTCTAGTTGTTTTGACAAAGTTTTTTACCCTGGGAAGCTTCCAGTCAGGTCAAATATAGCCTTGCAAGTGGAGCTTCCAGGGCCTGCCAAACAGGTCAAATAGTGACAATTGTCTAGGAATGGGACTTTGAAAGAACTCCAACTCCATTCTGTCACCTTCAGTGGCTGCCAGACTGCTGATTTTCATGGTAATTGCAGGCTGTTGGTTTCAAAGCTATTGTGGAGCTGGAGAGGGGGAGATGAGAGTAGTGCAAGTTACAATATCACAGTGCTCACAGAGATTTAGTCTTTTTCTTGAATAAATGCTCTGCAAATTGCTATACATCTTCAGTTAATTTCCAGAGCTATAAGAAGTTGAATCTATTTTTGTCACATTCTCATTAGTTTTATGGAGGAGAGACTCTTTGGGGGACCAGGGAATCTCAAGCATTGTTGCTGACATCCTCCCACATTCTTCTTTTTTTTTTTTTTCTTAAGCTTGAAATGCTCTTCCGTGTCAAGTCCCACTCACACCTTTCAGGCCTTGTATTTTTCTAATGGGTGTGGCTTTTCTGAGAACACTTTCTCCTTGGTACTTGCTTCCATTCTCCCCCTCCAAGTCCAAGAAGGCCATGACAAAAAGAGAGGTGGCCAAGAGGCTTTGACTGAATGCTTCAGATCTTGGGTTCCTGATGATGCAGCTATAATCTCAGGGTGGCCTTAATCGCTAGATGTGAACAATCTAGTTAGATCTATTTTTAGAGTGCTGTGTTATGTTCTTAAAAGAACAAACCGATAAAAGTTGCTCACAGTTTTGCATAATGTTTAAGGACCCAGTGCCACAGTAAGACCATATAAGTTCACTGCTTTCTAGCAGTGATAATGGTACCTACCTCACTGAGCTACCGTGAAGATTGAGTGAGAAACAATTCAAAGAAAATCCTTAGCACAGTGTCTGGTGTAACCATCCCATACATAGCTGCTGGGATTTTCATTATCATCAGAGCACCCATACCTAATAGAAATCTTGTATTATATATCTAAGTAGAAAGGGACCTCAGAAATTGACAAGTTCACAATTGCACACCAAGGGCAGTGACTTACTCTACTTCACATCCCTATTAAATGATATCTAGCCTGTGGTTTAATATTTCCAAGGACAGGAGTTCACTATCTTTTAAAGGTACCTCATGGTATTGCCAATCACTCTTACCACTAGGAAGCTTTTCCTTCTACTGAGCCCCAAATCTTTCTCCTGCTTTTCCCCTGGAACACCCTGAAATGAAGATATTATCATTTCTGTGTGATGGTCCTTCCATCTCAGGGCCTCCCTTATAACACTCTATAGTTCTTCTTTCTAGTTGTGCTCTAGGGAAGAGGCTGGTACTTCCGATTGCAGACCAGCTCTCCCTTGCCACAACCTGAAGTGTCCTACGGAAATCAAGCAGGGTCTGAAAGGCCTAGGCAAAAGGAATAAATTCCACCAAAGATCACAGGCTATCCAATTCTCTTTTCTACCTCCCTTCCCATGATAAGTGCATCCCTGCTCCACCTCTGCCCTAGGAACACTACCAAACACAAACGCACGCTCACACACACAGAAAGAATAGGTTTAATTTATTAGTTGCTCTTTAGCAAAGGCTATATAGAACATTATTGGGGTGAAAATTAAATTCTAGTTACAGATTCATGAAACTTGAAGCCAAATTAGTTTTATGAGACTATCAACTCCCCTTTCATCCTCCTACACAGCAAGGTACCTCATAGTCTATATAATTCTTTGCCGTTTTTAAATGATTTAAGCAGACATAATACATAATGCAGTTGATATTAAATATCTTGAGGAATGTCAATAGAACTACTTTCACTCTTAGGCATTAACTGATCACTTATAAATGTTCTGTTTATCCACTTTTCATTTTAGATTTTCTCCTTAAAAGGACTTTATGTGTGAACTAGTCATCATTATCTGCTATTCGTTTGTATACATGCATCGTAAGTCTTCCAAAATAACATTTAAAGTCTTTCTTAATATTGCTTTAGAAATGTTAACCTTTAAGGAACATTCAATTTAAAAAATAAAGATTCAGGCACTGACTCAGGAAGACATGTTCAGCTGGGTCAAGATTTTGTTTCCCCTGACCAGATAAAAGACTCTAACAACATACGGTGTGTCAGCTTCTTCTTTGCCCAACTCAGAGAAAGTCATATAAAGGAGAAAAAGAAAACATGCTTGAAATCACAGTGACCAAAGGATTTGAAGTAATAATTACATTAAATAACCATAACTTTTCATTTAACTATTCACATTCCACACAGTGGAAATTATCCTCTCCTCCAGATTTTTCACTTACACTCTTAACTTTGAAGACCTACAGTAACAAAAAACAACTTACAGACTTCCAGGATGTGTGTTTTTTTCTTTTAATGCCAAGCACAAAGTGTACATCATAAAATTCATATTTGGTGTTTGGCATTATTTTAATAGGTATGATCAAGACCACAAATATCTTGCCATAAAAATATTCTACTATAATAATGAAAAAATATATCATTACATCATCAGTGACTCGAATAAAATATGGTATAGATATGGCATTTTCAATGAAAGTTGGAAGACACACCACATTTGTACTAGTCTTAATATAGGCACAGTAAGAAGAACAGATATTTCCCTCTTTGGCTAGTGATATGCTTTTAGGGTAGTTACGCTGCTGATTATCCCAGTGAAGTTAGTGTTGAGGAAATTCTCTTTACTTGAGCCAAATCTGCACTTATGTGCAAGACTGTGGTACAAGCTCCTAAAAGAAGATTACTGCTGCCAACTTAAGTCATCTCCGTTAACGAAATTGCATTCTTGTGGCAGAGTTAAAACAACAAGAGAAATTCAGTGTTTGCTGGTTCTGAATGTCATTTTTCCTCCCTGGTGTGGTTTTACATTTTCAGCTTCTTTCCCTTTTCTTCTCTCCCACCCTCAAAATTCTGCCTTAGCATTTGTGTGCTTAATTAAATCCACTCTGTGCTTTATTGTTGGAGAATGTGGACAATACAAAGATTTGGGGTGGGGTCATACAGTGTATACAAAACACACACACTATGTGTTTGGACAAATTCGCCTAGCGTGAGAATCATCAGTAGTGAGTTTAAAAGTTTGAAAATCAGACCCAACATTTTGGGTGTTTAAAATATCTCCCGCCTTGAAATGGCTCCTGTTTAGTTGTTAGATGGGAGAGCACTGGATCAAAACAAAAACGAAATAAAAACAGCTTCTCGAGTTGCAAGGGTTCTCTGAATGCCAGAGCCTTGATCGGCAACTGAATCTCAAGTCTGCAGTGTTTGTTTTCCATATTACATAGGACTTGGCTAGGAGGCTGAGAAGATACAAGGCAAAAAGAGTATTCAGGGAGTTTGTATATAAAACCTCAGGCTTGAAGAAAACAGGTTAACCAAATCCAAAGTACAATAAAGTTCACCCACCCTGCACTTTGGCCCTTAGATCAATCCTAAGTAGCCATTGCCAGTAGGCCAAGTTTAATCAGAGGACAGTGCCTACCAGTAAATACTGAATAGTTACAATAGTTATGTCCATCCAACCAGTAGCAGATGAACAGCTAATACATCATGATGCTATGCTCTCCTAACAGGGTCCCCTCAGATCCTCAGTGAGCACATAAAGAAAGGGAGGTCATATCCCTTACATCTCTACCAGGTATTAACACCTAACTACTCTCTAGCCAGAGGCAATTCCCTTTATTTCCTTACTCTCGTCGTCTTCTCTTTAGCCCAATCTCCTGACAATAGTTAAAACAAAAAGACCCCCAAAATATCTCTTGCTAAAACAGAGTAGTCCCTAAACTCTCTCATCTTAGACTACTGTCAGGTACACTCAGCAGAGGCAGGATCTTTATCAATCAAGTTAGTGGCTCTCAGAAGCATTATGGGAAATAGTGGAATGGAAATGAGCTGACTATAACCACGATAAAGGAAAGGTATTAGGAATTTCAGCCTCTGAGGTTTTTGATTAATTCCCACCCCTATGCAGAGAGTTCTAAACTACCTCTCTTTTCCACCTGAGGGACAAAGCAGAGGAGTTGGTTTGGTTTAGCTAACTTGCTTGGGTCCGAACATAGGAGTGGTCAGTATTTATGTTTTCAGTTTGGTGTTAGGTTTGAGCAGATTGCAACGGCCAAAGTTAATCACTTTCTGGCAATCTCATTTCTCCTCTGTTCACTTGGGTTCTGTTAAATACTAGGAAAAGACTTTCTCAGAAGCATCAGCCTGTGTTCTGGTATTGGCCTTTCAAGCTTCTGCAATGTCCCTACTGACTTTTGCTGGACCTGATTTGGCCTCACCCTCCACCCTCCCTTTCTCACTCCACTATCCTGCTTGTCCTTGCCCACACCAGCCTCTCCCAGAGTCTGGAGGGTCTTCACAAAATGAAAAACATTTGCATCATGGTTAAGTGAATTAATTTAGGAACCTTGGCAAACAAGAGATTAGACTGACATAGTCACTATCAACTTAAGAAGAGATGGATTGTGAGGAGGAGGAGGAAAGGAGGATGCAAGCACAGGTTAAAAGGACTTTTCCATGTCGAATGCAGCACTAAAACAGGTCTCTTGCCCTCAGAGGAGCCTCTTCCATGAACATTCATTCCGAAAGGAGATTCTGGTCCCCAGGAGGGCACAAAAACACAAAGTCAGAACCAGACCACGGCCCCGCCCCTTTAGATGTGAGCCGGGGTGAGGTGGGTTTCTGGTACATCCCCATTAAAGCAGATATGTTTACAAAATAGGGAGTGCTCTCTAGCAGAGACTGTGTTTTCTCTGGTGTCTAAAAACACCCACAGGCACCCATCCACACTCATGCACACGAACTACGCACAAGCAGGCTCCTGCCAGGAGGCAGCTGGGGGTTCTTCTGGCCTCTAGGTTTAAGCCAAGTAAGAATCTGGTTGTTTTAGGTCTGGGACTTCCTGGGGCTGCATTCCTAGGACATGCTGGGTGCACCTGGATTTGGCTTAATCCAAATCGATGGATATGCAACGACACTGCTTCACACGTGTGACTCTCTTCTTCTTGGTAGGTGGCTGTAGTTCAGGGCAGTTGAGTGTGACCATCATGGTAGTGAATTTCTTGGGCTTGCAGAAGGAGCAGGACTGAAAGGAACCTTCCTCCTTCCGGATGTGCCTGGGGATGTAGAAAGAGTTGCACTGGCCGTAACAGAAGCGGTTGATGATGGTGCGACTGTTGCAGCCTTCCTCGTGGATGGTCTGCTTAAGCGGCTGGGTTTTGCACCAGTCTCGCTTCAGGTATTTGCGCTCCGTCACATGCAGGGCCTCTTGGCTGGACTCCAGCACCTCCTCCCCGGGCATGGCAGTGCCCCGCCCTTGGCCCCGCCCCCGGTTCCTGGAGCCAGGCTGCTGGGGCGACTGAGTCTGCTCTGAGTCATTGTGCTGGGCCTTGTCTGGCGGGGGGATGGCACCTTGGGACCCTTTCTTTTTCCCTTCAGCAGCCGGCAGCAGGGTCCCCAAGAGGAGAAGCAGGGCTCCCACCGTGTAGGCTGTGCGGCTCATACTAAAGAAAGGAAGCACAGAGAGGGGAAGACACAAAACATGGCAAAGTTAATTTAAAAATTAATAATAATAGCACCTAGCATTTAAACGCACCGTTAAACACTTAACGTGAAATATTCCATTTACTTCTCACAGTACCTGTATGAATTAGGTACTATTATCTCCATGACCCAGCCATCAATCCATGGAGTAACTCACCCAGAGTCCCACAGTGACTAAGTCAAGGTTTAAACTCAGCCAGGGCCTAGCTCTTCTCTGCACCTATTCTCACAAGAACTTCTTCCTGGCCTCTGGCACCAACCACATTTGTCTTTGTATTACGTTCACTTATTGAGGGGAACTTATTTTCTATTTTGTTTTACAGCAAGATGAATTAACCTCTCTGCTCAGAGGACTTCATTCCTCCGGAAACCTCCCAGTCTTTTCTCCCCAACTAGCCTGAGGCTTCCTGAGCTGTGAATGCTTATGAGACTTTGCATTTTTATCATATGTGGAAGGAGAGATTCATGGAGACCAGAAGGCATTTGACAGAGGGAAAACAACAAAACAGGAAAGGTCGCGCTCCTGGTGCAGTAACTTGCTATCTGATCTTAAAGATGTCACTTTGTCTCTCAGTAAATCACTCCATTTAAGCAAAGATACCAATACTTCGTCTCCCCAGGTACGCTGTTCAGATCCAACTCGATGTCAATGTGACAGCAATTGGAGAACTAACCAAATGTGTGGCAGTACTGCAGATGGAATGAAAGACAGTAGCGTGTAGGTGACGTGACTCATGAGGCTTCACCTCTCACTTATTCTCATCTTGAAACTGGGCACAGATACTCAATGTATCACTTTGTACCACGATATACATTTTTCTACCTTTTAAATAGTGAAATATGTCATTCACATGTGTCTGTGTATATACAATTTAAAAGGTAGAAAAATGGGCATGATAGAACAAGTATGTGCAAATATTTACATTAATAAATGGCATGGGCATGCTGAATAAATTAGTGGCAATGGATTAGTGGATGGGTCAGAAGCTAGATATGGGTCTGAAAGGGCAGTGATATGTGAACAATGGCAAAAAATAACAAGGAGGTGAGGTGAGGGAAAACCGACAAAAAATAGGAAACCATAGACAGAGAGAGAAAAGAATGAATGAAGTGAAGAATGCAATTCAGAGAAAGGGGAACTCTTCTACAAGTTGAATGTTCAGGGGAGGTAGTAAAGGCAGACAGAAAAGGCGGAAGAAGAGGGAAAGGTGGAGAAGGAGCAGCATATTTTTAAAAAGGAGAGTGCAAGAGAGAAGCCTCAGACAGACTAAAAAGATTTTCCTCCTGGGACAGTGCTTCTTAGACTTGAAAGTGCAGACAATTGGCCGGGCGCAGTGGCTCACGCCTGTAATCCCAGCACTTTGGGAGGCCCAGATGGGCGGCGGATCACGAGGTCAGGAGATCGAGACCATCCTGGCTAACACGGTGAAACCCCATCTCTACTAAAAATACAAAAAAATTAGCCGGGCGTAGTGGCGGGCGCCTGTAGTGCCAGCTACTCGGGAGTCTAAGGCAGGAGAATGGCGTGAACCCGGGAGTCAGAGCTTGCAGTGAGCCGAGATCGCGCCACTGCACTCCAGCCTGGGTGACTGAGCGAGACTCTGTCTCAAAAAAAAGAAGAAAGAAAGAAAGAAAAAAAAAAAGAAAGTGCAGACAATATCTGGGGATATTGTTAAGATGCAGATTATGATTCAGCAGGTCTGCCTTTTTATTAAGCTTTGAGTAGCAAGGCCTATAAGCACTTGCTGCCATGGGGCACGGAGAGAATTATTAAAGTGTGGAGGGATTTTCTTTTCAATGGATGCAGTTTCAAATTCACAGTCTCCCTCCTGCGGCCATCACAACAATCGGACCTGAATCCTGAAGGTTCTCCTGTCCCACTCCTGTGGTTTTCTGAACCTAAGAACACAGCTGTGTAGCAAACATTTTCCTTCTCTCTTTGGAATACCAGTATTACACATAATAACCACTAAGTGCAACTTAACAGTAACATTATTTCTCCCACCAAAACTGGACAGGTTGGTATTATTAGAGCAACTACCTTGCGCAAAGGCAGTGTAGGATCTAGATTTTCTAATGAACAGCACATGGTAAGTAAACACCATTCAACTCTAGGATAATGTCAAATTAAAATAATTAAATATTGAATTTAAGATATCTTTAAATGGCACCATCTTTCCAACATTAACCTAGTACTTTTAGACCATTATAAGTTCGGAGCTGATAATGTGACATTCAGCTTCTGCTCCAACTGTAGGTTTCCCACCTTTGGTCAGTGTATGTTACAACATCCCTGCTCTTTATGCAGAGCTTTTGTTTTACCCCAACAACAAAAAAATTACTTTACTTTGTCTTTTAAAAAAAAGCACTTATACTATACCATGCTGTTTTTGTTACTGTAGCCTTGTAGTATAGTTTGAAGTCAGGTAGCATGATGCTTCCAGCTTTTTTCTTTTTGCTTAGGATCGTCTTGGCTATACCGGCTCTTTTTTCAGTTCCATATGAAATTTAAAGTAGTTTTTTTCTAATTCTGTGAAGGAAGTCAGTGGTAGCTTGATGGGGATGGCATTGAATCTATAAATTGTTTTGGGCAGTATGGCCATTTTCATAATATTGATTCTTCCTATCCATGAGCATGGAATGTTTTTCCATTTGTTTGTGTCCTCTCTTATTACCTTGAGCAGTGGTCTGTAGTTCTCCTTGAAGAGGTCCTTCACATCCCTTGTAAGTTGGATTCCTAGGTATTTTATTCTTTGTAGCACTTGTGAATGGGAGTTCACTCATGATTTGGCTGTTTGTCTATTATTGGTGTATAGGAATGCTTGTGATTTTTGCACATTGATTTTGTATCCTGAGACTTTGCTGAAGTTGCTTATCAGCTTAAGGAGATTTTGGGCTGAGATGATGGGGTTTTCTAAATATACAATCATGTCATCTGCAAACAGAGACAATTTGACTTCCTCTCTTCCTATTTGAATACCCTTTATTTATTTGTCTTGCCTGCTTGCCCTGGCCAGAACTTCCAATAGTATGTTGAATAGGAGTGGTGAGAGAAGTCATCCTTGTGGCGGTTTTCAAAGGGAATGCTTCCAGCTTTTGCCCATTCAGTATGATACTGGCTGTGGGTTTGTCATAAATAACTCTTATTATTTTGAGATATGTTTCATCAATACCTAGTTTATTGAGAGTTCTTAGCATTGAAGGGGTGTTGAATTTTATCGAAGGCCTTTTCTGCATCTATTGAGATAATCATGTGGTTTTTGTCATTGGTTCTGTGTATGTGATTGATTACGTTTATTGATTTGCGTATGTTGAACCAGCCTTGCATCCCAGGGATGAAGCCAACTTGATCATGGCAGGTAAGCTTTTTGATGTGCTGCCAGTATTTTATTGAGGATTTTCACATCAATGTTCATCAGGGATATTGGCCTGAATTTCCTTTTTTATGTTGTGTCTCTGCCAGGTTTTGGTATCAGGATGATGCTGGCCTCATAAAATGAGTTAGGGAGGAGTCCTTCTTTTTCTATTGTTTGGAATAGTTTCAGAAGGAATGGTACTAGCTCCTCTTTGTACCTCTGGTAGACTTCGGCTGTGAATCTGTCTGGTCCTGGGCTTTTTTTGGTTGGTAGGCTACTAATTACTGCCTCAATTTCAGAACTTGCTATTGGTCTATTCAGGGATTCAACTTCTTCCTGGTTTAGTCTTGGGAGGGTGTATGCGTTCAGGAATGTATCCATTTCTTCCCAATTTTCTAGTTTATTTGCGTAGAGGTGTTTATAGTATTCTCTGATGGTAGTTTGTATTTCTGTGGGATCAGTGGTGATATCCCCTTTATCACTTTTTATTGTGTCTATTGTCTATTTGATTCTTCTCTCTTTTCTCCTTTATTAGTTTGGCTAGCAGTCTATTTCATTAATCTTTTCAAAAAAAAAAAAAAAACAGCTCCTGGGTTCATTGATTTTTTGAAGGGTTTTTTGTGTCTCTATCTCCTTCAGTTCTGCTCTGATCTTAGTTATTTCTTGTCTTCTGCTAGCTTTTGAATTTGTTTGCTCTTGTTTCTCTAGTTCTTTTAATTGTGATATTAGGGTGTCGATTTTAGATCTGTCCCGCTTTCTCCTGTGGGCATTTAGTGCTATCAATTTCCCTCTAAACACTGCTTTAGCTGTGTCCCAGAGATTCTGGTATATTGTGTCTTTGTTCTCATTTCTTTCAAAGAACCTATTTATTTCTGCCTTAATTTTGTTATTTACCCAGTAGTCATTCAGGAGCAGGTTGTTCAGTTTCCATGCAGTTGTGTGGTTTTCAGTAAGTTTCTTAATCCTGAGTTCTAATTTGATTGCACTGGGGTCTGACAGACTGTTAGGATTTCTGTTTTTTGCATTTGCTGAGGAGTGTTTTACTTCTAATTATGTGGTCATTTTAGAATAAGTGCGATGCGATACTGAGAAGAATGTATATTCTGTTGATTTGGGGTGGAGAGTTCTATAGATGTCTATGAAAAAACTACTTTAAATTTCATATAGAACCAAAAAAGAGCCCATATAGCCAAGACAATCCTAAGCAAAAAGAACAAAGCATCACGCTACCTGACTTCAAACTGTACTACAAGGCTACAGTAACCAAAACAGCACGGTACTGGTATCAAAGCAGATATACAGACCAATGGAACAGAACAGAGGCCTCAGAAATAACACCACACATCTACAACCGTCTGATCTTTGACAAACCTGACAAAAACAAGCAATGGGGAAAGGATTCCCTATTTAATAAATAACGTTGGGAAAACCGGCTAGCCATACGCAGAAAACTGAAACTGGACCCTTTCCCTACACCTTATACAAAAATTAATTCAAGATGGATTAAAGACTTAAATGTAAGACCTAAAACCATAAAAATCCTAGAAGAAAACCAGGGCAATACAATTCAGGACATAGGCATGGGCAAAGACTTCATGACTAAAACACCAAAAGCAATGGCAACAAAAGCCAAAACTGACAAATTGGATCTAATTAAACTAAACAGCTTCTGCATGGCAAAAGAAACTACCATCAGAGTGAACAGGCAACCTACAGAATGGGAGAAAATTTTTGCAGTCTATCCATCTGACAAAGGGCTAATATCCAGAATCTACCAGGAACTCAAACAAATTTACAAGAAAAAAGCAAACAACCCCATCAAAAAGTGGGCAAAGGATATGAACAGACATTTCTCAAAAGAAGACATTTATGGGGCCAGCAAACATATGAGAAAAAGCTCATCATCGGTGGTCATTAGAGAAATGCAAATCAAAACCACAATGAGATACCATTTCACGCCAGTTAGAATGGCCGTCATTAAAGAGTCAGGAAACAACAGATGTTGGAGAGGATGTGGAGAAATAGGAATGCTTTTACACTGTTGGTGGGAGTGTAAATTAGTTCAACCGTTGTGGAAGACAGTGTGGCAATTCCTCAAGGATCTAGAACCAGAAATACCATTTGACCCAGGAATCCTATTACTGGGTATAGACCTAAAGGATTATAAATCATTCTAATATAAAGACACATATACACATGTTTATCGCAGTACTAGTCATAATAGCAAAGACTTGGAGCCAACCCAAGTGCTCATCAATGATAGACTGGATAAAGCAAATGTGGCACATATACACCATGGAATACTATGCAGCCATAAAAAGGATGAGTTCATGTCCTTTGCAGGGACGTGGATGAAGCCAAAAACCATCATTCTCAGCAAACTAACACAGGAACAGAAAACCAAACACCGCATGCTCTCACTCATAAGTGGGAGTTGAACAATGAGAACACATGGACACAGGGAGGGGAACATCAAACACTGGGGCCTGTCGAGGGGTGGGGGGCTAGGGAAGGGGTAGCATTAGGAGAAATACCTAATGTAGATGATGGGTTGATGGGTGCAGCAAACCACCATGGCACGTGTATACCTATGTAACAAACCTGCACATTCTGCACATGTATCCCAGAACTTAAAGTATTATAAAAAGAAAAAGAAAAAAAAAAAGCACTTATGAGAAACGCCCAGTTATAATACAGGACTGAATTTTTCCAGAGACTAGGATAAGACAGTGTGGCAATTTCTCAAGGAGCCTTCTCCTGGTCTCAAAATATAGTGTGAATTTGAGAAGGTTTCACGAATTTCTGGTATTCAAGTTGGACGAAGATCTAAAATAAAACACAATTCAGTTGCTCCCCATTTCAGAGGAGGAGTACATGGGATGGCCCCAGGCCTATGCCCCAGTCTTCCTCCATACCTCCTGAAAATGGCCTCCAGACAAATTCACCCCTCCTAGACCAGGACCCTCTGAGTTTGTCATCACAGAGGCCAATCTGAGACTAACTGGGAATGTATGTTCACTGCATAGGACAAGTTTACCTCATAAGGCCGATTCCATAAACATCTATCCGAAAAATGCAATTTTATTTCTCTGAACCAACTTAAGGCTTTCTTTATACTCAACTTTTCCTTCTTGGCATTTTCACATCTGTTATTGAGTAAATATCTAGTCTGACAGTTGATGAGGGCTTATTCATCACCTTACCCTCAGTGCCTGGCACAAGGCAGGTGCTTATAAAAATTTGGTAAATGCATGATTATTATGAACCTCATTGATTTACAGAGGTACCATTCTTCGCATTTTAAAATGCCTTCACCAGTGCCCATGAGCAGAAGAGCCAATTGCTATCCTTTGGATGTCTAACTCTCAGTGTGGCAAATTCCTTCCATCCTAGAGAGCTTCCTAAGACTTGTCTTTCTTTTTCTTGGAAAACTCCAAATGTCCCTGACTTTTTACCTGTTCTCATATGGAATGCTATGGGTTTCATTTTCTAATTGAAGCCATTGAAATTAATACTATCGCAGAAGCCAACAGCAGAGCTATAAATTCAAAATTAGTCAACTGTGGTTTTCAGTTTTAATTTGGACAGACTTTCTGTTTCTATGTGAGTGTGCCTACCTTCTAAGCCAAAGGGTCTAGAGTGACAGACAGGCTTTTTTTTTTTTTTTAAAGAAAAGTACATTTTCCTCAAAATAAGATTTATTAGCTATGGAAAGTGAAATGTTTTTTCATTTTTTAAAAACCTATTCTTCAAAAATCTTTAGTACTTATTGTAAGATGTCTGAGTTGCCAACCTTTGTTTATTCAGAGAGAAGTAAACACCAACTTCAAGAATGTCAATCGAGACCTCAGCTTCTCAGAGAACAGCAGTGCTCTGAGGCACACTAGCTGCTCTACATGAGTGACAGTAAGCAGGGTAAGAACTATAATTCATAGTGGAACCAGGGCTCTGCCACATCCTTGTCAATCACTCAAGCTCTCCCCACCCCCAGACTGCTCTTGATTCTTCAGTGAAGGAAATAGTAGTGATGTGCACTTGAAATCCCAGTTGTAGTATCACCAAATAATGTGCACTTTGTAAATATCAGAGATGTAGAGGAAATGCAGAAGATGTACATTTCTTGAGGACAATTCTTTTCCACAGCAACATGTAGAAGGGTGTCCCATAGTAAAAATTCAATCCATAGCTCATCCAGACTTAGGTTCCTATGACATCATTCATGCGCCGTCATTAGCTGCAAACACTTTATGGTAATTTCCACCACTTATGAAATGGCCTACTCATATCACTAAATTAAATTAAGCTGCATCTCATAGACTCAGGGTGCATCAAGATACCTGACATCTCCGTTGATTCTTTTTTGCAGACAGTATATCTTCTTTTCAAACTCTGCCTCAACTTCCCATCAATGCAGTTCAGCTTCTTCAAGAAATGTGATGTTATTCTCATCATGAGTTTTCTTTGCAACTGTCCACCAGCAAGTCTCACCCCATCTCCACCTTTTTTTCTCTTTGCCTCTATCCTCTCTTTCATTCCACTTGTCCCAGAGGACACATACTCTCAAAGCAGGTCCTCTCTACAGCATGCTTTCCTTCCAGTTTCCCTTAGGGATCAAGAGTAAACATCTACAAGCAAGGTAAGCCATATTAACCACCTCTATCCTGTGCAGGTCATGGCAATGTATTCCAATTTTCACAAAGCCTCTAGGAACACAATATTCTAATACTGAGGACTGAGAAATAAAAATGGTATATGTATGACCTGTTCCCAGTGTTCATGATGTCTTTGGGAAAGTTTAAGCCAGCTCTTTCCATCCCTCTTCTTGCTGTATTTCTCATTTTAGCTAAGCAACCTGCTCATAATCAGTGAAAGGGAGTTTTGAGTAGGAATTACAGTGAAAGCCAAATGTCTGTGCATGGACTTCTGGTCAGTTCCTCCTGATGAATCAAGCTTTAGAAAGACATTCAATAGGCATGACATCAAATTATTCTCTCAGCATAAGAAATAGTGGAAGTGACTACAAATGCTCTAAGTGCAGGCCAGGTTTTAGAAAGATCTATTCCTTTTTCTCAGGTCTAAATCTTTGGGAAAACTATAGCTTATTTTTAATTTGATCTTTAACTTTTAAGAAGATAATTGTGTTGACTTTCTTTTTCAGACAAGTTGCACCAAGGAGATAAGAAGAATCCCTTGTTGGCAGACAGGTAGAGGATAAAGTCTCATCCCCTTTGTGTTGTAAGAACCCTAAACAGCCTCTCAAGTCTGAAGACCAGGTCGGCTAAATCAGGCTGGGGCCCAACATTGCATAGGACAGGGAGGAGACCACCTGGTTGTGAAATATCTCAGGAGCTCTATGTTTGTCAAAGATTTTCTTAGGAAAGTTAATGACTATGTACAATTCTTGAGGTCAACAAGAAACGAGTTAGAAAGTAATAAATTATTAAATGTTCACTGAGCAGCACTGCTGAGAGACGGCCAAGTTACAGGTTCTGTTCTGTAGTGAAAGATGTGTTAGTCACTGCGTAGTGTGGTATTCAGGATTTTTTTTTTTAAGAGATGTCACCCAGGCTGGAGTGCACTGGCACGATATCAGCTCACTGCAACCTCCGCCTCCTGGGCTCAAGTGATTCTCCTGCCTCAGCCTCCCAAGTAGCTGAGATTATAGGCGCCTGCCACCACACCCAGCTAATTTTTGTATTTTTAGTAGAGACGGGATTTCAGTGTCTTGGCCAGGCTGGTCTCAAACTCCTGACCTCGTGATCCGCCTGCCTCAGTCTCCGAAAGTGCTTAGGATTACAAGCGTGAGCCACCTCACCCGGCCAGGATTCAGGATTTAATTTCAGAACTGCCCTGTGATATATCCTGGTTCTGTATAACATTGCTACTTTTCCTAACACCATTACTAATAATAAGAGCTACCTTTTATTTTGAAGCCCTTACTGTGCCAGGCATTATGCTGATTTCTGACCCAATTTTATCATTTATTTTTCATAACAAAATATGAGGTAGATAATATCATCTTCCTTTTACCAATCAGGGAATCTACACTCAGAAAAGTTGGAAATTTGTCCAAGGTCACACAGCTCATAAGTGGGAAAGCCAGCATTTTTTTGTTTGTTTGTTTTGTTTTGTTTTTTTGACGGAGTTTTCACTCGTGTTGCCCAGGCTGGAATGCAATGGCGCTATCTGGGCTCACCACAACCTCCGCCTCCCGGTTTCAAGCAATTCTCCTGCCTCAGCCTCCCAAGTAGCTGGGATTGCAGGCATGCACCACCATGCCTGGCTAATTTTGTGTTTTTAGTAGAGACGGGATTTTTCCATGTTGGTCAGGCTGGTGTCGAACTCCCGACCTCAGGTGATCCGTCCTCCTTGGCCTCCCAAAGTGCTGGGATTACCGGTGTGAGCCACTGTGCCTAGCCCAGCCAGCAGTTTAAACCCAATTCTATCTAGCCCCAAACACAGGTCCTTAACCACTGTCCTATTGACACCCAGTGCTGTCCTTAACAGTGGGTCAATGGATATGTTTTCTAATGCAATACAATTTGAAGAGTGCTATAAATAAAATAATTATCTATTTTGTATCTTCATGTTCACATGTGAATAAAAAGATTTCTCTTGTCCCAGGAATTCCTGTTGTACTTTGAATTTCTAAGAGCATATGTTAAAACTAAAGAAAATTCCTTGCAGATCGAAGACACGGGCTGGTAGCACTTGCCTGATGGTTGCCTTTTGGTTAGAGGCTGCAGTCACCTCCCCTAACCACTGTCCCCCACCTGCCTTTCCTTTACATAAAAGGTTTATATTTCCTGGCTGTCCTTTACTCTCTGTTGTGGAACATGTTCCACAGCTTTGCTGTCAACAAGCAGTTCTTGGGGGAGGTGTCTGCGGCATGAAATTTCTTTGCATTTTATCACTTTTAATACTTGACCATTCAGACTGAAGGCATCTTCGGCTTAGTTTCAAAGACAGGGTAGGCAGCCCTCATTCAGAGATGTAGGACATAAAAGGTTTTTATCCTTCCCTGTGTAACTACTCACATAAAGACCGCATTAGCCAACCTGGATTTCCTACAGAGCGTGGGTTACCAAAACATTTCACTAAAAATGAACTTTTAAGAAAATAGGAAACCTGTGAAATTACAAAGTTTACAAAAGACTCTAATTCCTACAATGACCTGGAGGTTAAACACACACACACAGACACACACACACACACGCACACATACTGCCACTACCCTGCTAAAAATCCCTGAAATAGTTAATATTAACAATTTGACAGTGCCATTTATCCAGAGATAGTAATCAAATCACCTACTGTTATAGACTTGGCTTGGGGGGCAGTGAGAATATATAGTTTTCTTAAGATCTTTCCCTCCTTGCTTTGAAAAGTACATCCCCCCCTCAAGACTCTCATGCTCCCCCTCCTTCCAAAAAAAGAGAAAAGGGGAGGGGGAAGCCCTAGGGATGAAAGAGGACTCCTCACCCTAGAATGGGGTTATCTTAACCTCTTCTACGCTATTTATTTAACTTGTGTGTACAGCCAGAAGGAAGCCACTACTCTGGGGTCCCTGGGACAGCTTAAAACCCTAGTGACCCACTTAACACAATAGATTGTTTTAATCAGTTCGTGTCCTGGCACCATCTCGAAGGGGAACATAAACAGACGCGCACACCGCTCAGATTTGCTCTTTCCAGCAGGAGATCCAATTACCTATCGGTGGTCACCTCTCTGCCCTCGGACCGTTTAAGAGGGGGATTTTAACCCCTAACGCTGAGGCTGTATTTCTGTCTATAAGAGCCGAGATTCGGAGTCGGTCGAGGAGGGGAAGGCAGTAGACGGATTCGACCCGGGAATGCATTAGGGACAGCTCCGGGCGCGCAGGAATTTCTTCACAGCAGAGGCTGGTCACCTGCCGTCCGTCCCTCCCCGCCTGGCCCGGTGACCGTCGCCAGAGCCTGGCGCAGGCAAATAAACGCCAAGCTGGGGCACCCCCAAGGAGGAGCTGCGATCCGAAGGCAATGCCAAGCGAGAGCGGTGGCGCGTCTGTTCTTCCGGAGTCTGTAGTCTACAAATAACTCCGGCCAGCAAGGAGGTGACAGCCCCAATATACCTCCCACTCCCCTGCTATGGCCTTGCTCCGCAAGCTGTGGAGGGGCCAGCGGAGCCAGCCAGGCAGCGAGAGAGAACGAAAGACGCCCAGCTCGTTGCAGCCGCCAACCCGCCTCAGCCGCCAGTCCCTAGTCCTCAGGAGCTAGTGAGGCGCTGCAAGGCGAGGCTGGGGCCTCTAGAACACAGTTTAAGGGGTGCGCGCGGAAGTGGGAACCAGCCGGTGGCCGCTGCCCGGCGCCAGAACGTCTACCATTCAGCCCGGGCGTGCGCGGGGCGGGGAAGAGGCTGGAGTAGAGAAGCGAGCGCCCGCGAGTGCGTGGCCGGTCCGCGAGCGCGTGTGGTGTCTGCCTTGTGAGCACTGCGGGTTCGCTGGACCCCGCGGCCAGGGCCGCGCCCCGCACCGCAGCTGTCGGATTACCCACCGTTCGGTTTTCCGCTGTGGCTGAACACAGCGGCTCTGCCCTTGCCAGTCTCCATCTCACCTCGGGGATCGGCAAATGCACACATCATGGATTCTCCGGATGCTCCAACCCGCGGACTCCAATGGGCGCCCCAAGACGCCCCCAGACCCAGCGCGGCGCCCCAAGCACATGGGACCCTCTCAAGGCAACTCGCCGCGCAGTCAGCGGCCGACTAGCAGGTCCGGATGCTCCTGCGCTCTGGCGGCCTGGACTTCGCGCCCTCGCTAAGCGGGCGCGTCTGCCAGGCGCTGCTGCCACCAGCACCAGGAGCGTGTTCGGGGGCCTCCGGGAGGTGGAAACGGGATGTGGGGGTCATCCTGCCCGCTCCTGACAACTTTTTTTCCTACGTTTCCCTGCAGACCCAGAGCAGCGAGGTCACGGTGTCCGCGGCCTCAGCAGGAAGGACCCCGCGATGGTTCTTCACAATTCACCCCCGCGAACAACGCACCCGAGCCTGCGCGCACGGAGGGCTGCCGCGCGTGGAACTGAGCGGGTCCTGGGTTGGTTTGCGGCCCTCTTCCCTCCGCCCACTCACATCCCTGCCGGGTGCGTCCGCGCTCACCTGTCAGTGCGGCGGGTCCTCGGGGCCTGCGCTTTCGACGCGTGGCGCTGAGTGCGGCCGCGGCCAGAGCCGCCGGGGCTCGGCGCGGGGTCAGCGGGACCGAGAGTGACGCGGCGGCCGTGCACTGGGTCGCCCGGTCCGCGGAAGGCGCACCGAGTGCCAGGCATCGCGCCGTCTCCCGTTTAAATGCCGGCGGCAGAGCGCGGCGCCCGGGGCCGCGCCTCTCCATTGGCCAGGCGCCGCCGCCGCCGCCAGACCCGCTATCCGCCCCCTTTCCCGGTACTGCCCCCGCCCCCCGCACCCCTCCTGCTTCCCCGCGGGGTCCCCTCTCCGCCCGCCTCGCCTCTTTGTCTGCTCCCCCCGCCCGGGCCGGCTGGGAGAGGTCACCCCAGGGAACCGCGCCTGGAATGCACAGCAAATCACATTTTCCGCTCCCGTTGGAGAGGGAAGAGCGGGAGGAAATCCCCCCGGCTGGCGGCCCCTCATTCCTTCTCTGCCCCAGGTCTGGGCTTTCCCTGTCGGCCGCCCGGCATCGCCTGCGTTGGTCCCGCGCTCAGTAGCGGAGACTGCGCTGGGAAGAGCGAGATCTCCGTGGGATCGTGCCAGATTCGGCCATTCTTCCCCTCTGGAGGGAACGGGACTGCGGGATGCTCTGGTCGAGCGGCCGTCGTGGCTCCCCGGCGGCCCCGCCCGAGGCCCCCAACTTCGAGGGCGCTGACCCCGGCGCCCCCGTTAACCTGGCGGGCTCGCTGGCCGCCAGCAGGAGCCTGTCGCCAACATGACACCCTGCTCTCCTCGCCCGCCAAGGGTTCTTTCAGCCCAGATGCCGGCGGCCTCCCCTGTGAGTGTACAGAGGGGAGTCACGGGAGGAGAATAAAACTAAATGACCGTCAAAAGTCAAGGCTTCTGTTCCTAAATTATCTTAAGAGACAGAGAGAAAACAGCCACTGGGCGAGAGGGGTTTTCTGTAGCATATCAAAGACGAATAAGTCAGGAAAATAAAACGTTAGATGAGGAAGTAACTTCCCAGAAATTTAGGACAAAAACCTACCGACGTGTAAAACCAATGTCACATTCCGGATACCAAGTACATAAATAGTTTTCGAAAGATGAGCGAACACTTTCATTTGTTCTCTTAGCCTGAAAAATTGGTTCCTCAAAGAGGCCGTAAGTTTTGTGTGTTGAAGCTAAAGTCCGTGCAAAAATTAACACGTCTGCAAGATCTGCAGACCAGCTCCATCAGCCACGTCAAATGAAGACTTTGAAAAAGATTTGCTACAGAAGGAAATATGAAGGTGTCTGTATTGTCTAACGCGAAATAAACAAAACAATGAAATCCATCAAAAGATACTTACGAAACACCCGTAATTTAAGTACTTGACTAGGAAAACAAAACCAGACCAGAAAACAGCCTATTTTTTTTTTCTCTTTAGTCCGGCGTTAGGGGGAAGAAGCAAGAAACATCTACTAGATGCTGTTAGGAACGTGAAATAGATATTTTTAAATAAATGAAGCAAGAAGGACGTCTGCATTAGTATCCTTAAAATCTTAGTCCTCTCAATGTTTTGTTTGTGCAGATGGCAGTTTCTACACATGAACTCGAGGCTGCACTTTACAATTCTCAATCAGTTGTTGTTAAGTCATGCAGTGAGCCACAGTTTGTAGTTGCCTACAGAATGGGAGCATTGAACCAGCTTGAAGACCTGTCTTGCTCACGTGGGCTCCTGGAGAGATAGGTAATCAGAAATACACAAAATACTTAGGCGATGACCAGTTCAGTCGAAGCCCACCACCAAGCTGTATTGGAGCCAGCTGTTCTCCCAACGTGCAAACTGCTGTACTTCTCCCCACAAAAGGGAGCATATTTTACAAATTCATTAAGTCCTCCTCATCTAAAATAAAAGCTTTAGTCACTTCTTTTTTTCCCAAGACTTATATACTGCCCCAAATCAAATACAAAGAAGCTGAAATTACCTCCCAAAATGGAAGTGATTTTTTTTTTTTGGAGCCCTGACACTGTGGTTTTCTCTATCTCCATGTATCAAATCATGATGACTCTTCCTCATGCAGTTTCTCAGGCCATATTTTTTATAATAGAGCCCCCACCTCCTCCCCACAACACACGCCCCCTCTCTGTATCCCAAAGAGATAGAGAGGGCTATGCATCACTGCATCATTTTTCTTCATTCTCATTTCTCTCTCCCTTCTCCCTGGCATTATAGTATTTCCTGCCACTAGAATGTAAGGTTCATAAGGGCAGGGATTTTGTCTAGGTCACTTTGATTACATGAAGCACATAGAATATAGATTGTCTAACACAGCACTCAGATTCAATAAATAGTTGTGGATTGAGAATGTTGAGCACATTCCCACTAAGATTGTCAGCTGAACCAAATGCTGAGGGTATAACCATCGTGGATAGGATAAACACAGGCCCTCACCTCAAAGAATTTATAGTCTAGTATGTTTGTAAATATTTATATAGAAACACAAGTTTTTTGCCCAATATTTGTGTTTCCACAGCTCCTAACAAGTTCTTGCAAACCATTGTCCAATCAGGAGGAAGGCATAAGGATAAAAACTCCCTAGACCGCTCTAAACATGGTTACATAACTAAAACCTGCTTTTAGTAAGGGGAGAAGAAGTAGAATGACTCGATGTAGTCATGCCTAAACCATGATGCCTAAACCACGATCACTAAATGATTAATTTTATTTAATGAAAGTACTTTCAAACTACTTTGAGGTTGTGAGAAGAGTAGATTCTGCTCAGCCACTGGTTCGTAAAAGTAAAGTCCATTTCCTCTTTTTTTGCCCACCTGTGTTTGGAATGTGCTAGCCTCTCTGTAACCCCAAGAAGCTAAAAGAGGGCTACTCCCCAGGTTTGGAGAATAACTTTGAAGACCTTTAGAGAAGAGTTTTTACTTAGATCTGCAAAAGCTATTTACAGCTGTTCATCCAATTGCAGAGACTACGTATGCTGTCTTGCATAGGATTAAAAAAGAATAAAGCCCTTTACACAGTTGGAACTGACCTTGTATGCCCTTTCTAAAGAAAAAAAGTATTAACCTATAAACTTGATAATGATTAAGTAAAAACATATTTACAAGAGTCAAATACCAGTTAAATGGATCATATTCAGAATGAATTTTTCTTATAAGTTAGTAAGAAAAAAATCCCCACAAATAACCCAATAGGAAAAAAAAATTGCACATGGCCAAAGCACATGGGCAGGTAATTCACAAAAAAGAAACCTGGACAGCCAGTAAATATAAAAAGATGCAACATTACACCAGTAAATCAGAGAAATATAAACTGAAATGAGAAGATACTGTTGCTTATCTACAAAGTTACCAAAGATCTAAAAGTCTGACAATATCCAGCAATGGAAAAGGTAGAGAGAAGCAAGCAAGCAAATGCATTGCTAGTGAGAGGGTAAATTAGTACCATCATTTCAGAAAGTAATTTGTCAATTTGCATTAATATTAAACATGCACTTAGTATGCCACCCAGACATTACACTTCTAGGTAAACACCTTAGAAAAATTTGAACGTGTGTATGAGGACTAGAAACTTGTATAAGCATGTTTATCAAGGTATTGTTTGTAACAATCTTAATGTCCATCAACAAATATAGGAGAAGGCATAAGAAATTATTTTATTCATATGGCAAAATGCTACATAGCTAATAAAAGAAATTGATTAGATTTTTATATTTTAACATAGAGCTCAAAACATAGAGATGCTTTTTTTTAAAAAAAAAAGGAAGCTGCAGAATGATATAAGTAGTATGATACCATTATGTGTATTTTATAGTAAACATATAAAAATAGCATAAATTGCTTGTGAAACATATGGTCATGTGCATGGATAAATAGTGACTTGGAATCCATACCTTTAATGATGTTCACCAGAATGAGGAGGGGAGGAGGTGGATCAGGCATGGACGACAAAAGAAATTTCAACATTACAAACCATTTAAAAATCTTATGTCTTAAAAAAAATCTTGAAAGAAATATGACAAAATGTGGACAATTTGAATTTCTGGGTGATGGGTACATGGATGTGTTTGCTAGATAACTCTCTCTACATGTTGATAATGTTTTAAACCCTCAAATTTAAAACAAATGTGATGTTTCTATTATGATTTCAAGAGTGATTTTGAGCATCATTTGTAAACTGAACATTTTTGCTTCCCATGTGTTCTTTGTAACAAGCTCCAATCTGAGTAGGCATGCTTTCAGAATGCAAACAAGCCCTTATGTAAGTGTGTATGTCTGCTGACCTGTCTGAGGTGTATGCCTAACCAGTTTCCTGTGTATGGAAAATGCACGTGCATGTGAAAATTCTGGACAATGTTGCCAAATACAGGTATATGGAATGAGTTATTCAGGACCATTGTAATACAATTCTTGCCCTATTTCATGCACATATTTATTGCATATACTCCACGTGCAGTGCAGTATCAAAAGGTGAAGGCTTCAAACTGTGAACATAATCCTTCACAGTCAATAGTTCTGGCACAGTGGGAAAAAGCACGGAACTCGGAGTCAGGAAAGTCAGAGTAAATTCCTGATACTTCCCCTTAGAAGCTGAATGTCTCAATTAGGTATTTAAAGCCTCTGGGCTGAAATTCAACCATCTGTATTATAGGAATGGTGATAACACCCACTTCTGGGTAGATGCTGGAATTAAGTAAAACAAGCTCTGTGAAAGTGCCAGGCACCTAATAAACATCAGTGTCTGCATAGATACTAGAGTTCAACTGGGAGCTAACACAATAAAACAGTAAGTCTAATATCAGCGTCTGCTGGGTCTTATGTATCTTTTTTTTTTTTTTTTTTTTTTTTTTTTGAGGCGGAGTCTTGCTCTGTCGCCGAGGCTGGACTGCAGTGGCGCGATCTCGGCTCACTGCAAGCTCCGCCTCCCGGGTTCACGCCATTCTCCTGCCTCAACCTCCCGAGTAGCTGGGACTACAGGCGCCCGCCACCACGCCCGGCCAATTTTTTGTGTTTTTAGTAGACACGGGGTTTCACCGTGTTAGCCAGGATGGTCTTGAT
The DNA here is from genome assembly GCF_000001405.40 of Homo sapiens. Taxonomy (NCBI): domain Eukaryota; kingdom Metazoa; phylum Chordata; class Mammalia; order Primates; family Hominidae; genus Homo; species Homo sapiens. The sequence continues at coordinate 2,231,516 of NW_012132920.1, read as the reverse complement.
CTCCTGACCTCGTGATCCACCCACCTCGGCCTCCCAAAGTCCTGGGATTACAGGCGTGAGCCACCGCGCCCGACCGGGTCTTATGTATCTTTATATTCACTCTGGGTAACGCAGGGGTGGCACACGGCAAATGCTTGACAAAGCTATGAAATGAGTACTTGCACAGGGAGAAGGAAGGAAGGGAGGAAGAGAGGAGAAGAAAATAAGGGGAAAAGAAAGAGATAGAGGAAGAGATAAAGAGAGGGATGGAGGGAGGAAGGAAGGAAAGAAGGGAGAGAAAGGGAAGGAGGAAGACAGGAAAGAAAATGAGTGATACCTTCCAGTAAATGGCACAACAACTTTTTTTTTTTTTTTTTTTTTTTTGTAAAACCAGTAAACAGTTTTACCAAACACTTCTGGCTCTTTTTTGCCTGCACTACAAGAATCATGCTAACCTAAAGTTACCCTTCTCAGAATGGTTCCACTGCAGTGATAGAAGCTAAGAATAAGAGACCAGAAGATGCCCAAATGTGTAGTCAGACAGGCTGAAACTCCCATCCAAGAGACTGGGGAGTGAAACAAGACAGAAAGACAGAGACAGCAATGTATTTCTTAGCCAAAATTCACATACCCAGTGCCTAAATGTAACAGAGTCTGTGTGAAACAAGGCTCCTTCCTTTGTCTGCAGACAGGGTAACCTGTTACGTTTGAAAGGTTTATACCGAATGTATTTGTTTTGAGCTCTTTGATGTGACCTCACTCTTGGGAAAAAAATGTGATGGGACTTTATTCAGTTAATAATTTTGTGTTTTCCCTTATAGCTTGTGTTCTTCATTTTCTAAATTTTTTTTGGTGGAGGGTTTCTCTTTGAAAAAAGCTCATTTTAATGCAATTTTAAAATGCTAGTGCCTTGGGGAAGATCTGTTGAAAGTACCTATTAAACTGAAGGTTGCAAGGTTTTACCCCGCTGTCTCTGGCTATCCTGCTCCTCACTTTTTTTTTTTTTTTTTTTTTTTTGACTTTTGGCTTATTTAGTCCCTTCCCAGTCTTTGTTTCCTTGATGTCTCTGCTATTTACCAGAAGTCATTTTAGGATTCACGTTTTCACTCTTGTGTCCTTTTTTGAAGGCATGGAAGTATACGTGTGATTTTGCTCTTGCTGCCGCTCTCCTAATATGTCACTTGGACTGATTCATTACATCTTATAAAATATTTTATAACATGAAGTTATTGTAAAAATATTACAAACTCATCACAGAAAACTTGGAAATAGAGAAAAATACAAAGAAAATAAAAGTATGCCGTAATCTCACAATCCCCAAATAACCACTGTTTGCTCACACACACTGTATATATATGTACATATATGGATTTCCTTCTAATTATATAGTGTGTGTATATGTGTGTGTGCATGTGTATGTGTGTGCATGTGTATGTGAGAGAAAGAGAGAGAGAGAGAGAAGATGCTGTATATAATAAGATGCTTTATTTAACTTTTAAATTTAACCTAATATTTTGATTATTTTTGCGGACATTATTAAAATTCTTCAAAAATATCAGTTTAAGAGTAGTATAATATTCTCTTGTATGAATAACATACTATAACACTTTATTTTTTCTTATAGGATTAACAATGTGTGTGTGTATGTGTGTGTGTGTGTGTGTATACATACATTTCTTAAAGTGGCCTTTTATTAATTACTTAATGTGTACCAAACACGAGGCTTTATATGCATTATCTAATTTAATTACCTTAACACTCTTACGAAATTGCTACTATTGTTTGTTCTGTTTTAAAGATGAGAAAGCTGATGTCTAGAGAGGTTGTATGACTGTCTCAAGGGCACACAGCTATATGAAGCAGTGACAGCTGCTGACCCCTGAGCCCCATACACTGAGCTTCTACCCTCTATACTGTGAACAAGAGTCTACACCATACACTGTTAGAACTGGTATTCAAATACCACTATTTTTTCATGAAAGAAAACTATTCCTAAGTGCGAAATGACTTAAATAATTTGATAGTTGGTATTGTCAAAACATTTGGTTGTGTAAAATATGAACACACATATGAGGAATATGGGTTTCGATATCACATGAGTTTACTCATAAAGAATGCTGAACACATGGCCATTGAAAACCCATATGCCACCGGGCACAGTGGCTCACGCCTGTAATCCCAGCACTTTGGGAGTCCAAGGCAGGTGGATCACGAGGTCAGGAGATCGAGACCATCCTGGCTAACACGGTGAAACCCCGTCTCTACTAAAAATACAAAAAATTAGCTGGGCGTGGTGGCGGGCGCCTGTAGTCCCAGCTACTCGGGAGGCTGAGGCAGGAGAATGGCATGAAGCCGGGAGGTGGAGTTTGCAGTGAGCCGAGATTGCGCCACTGCGCTCCAGCCTGGGTGACAGAACGAGACTCCATCTCAAAAAAAAAAAAGAAAGAAAAAAAAAGAAAAGAAAAAGAAAAAAAGAAAACCCATATGGCCTGTCTTGAGGTTTCCTACAAAAACCAAAGCCTGCCTTATTGCCATTAGTTATTAATGACTGTATCAGTCTCTCTCTGTCTATCTCTCTCTCTCTCTGTCTGTCTGTCTGTCTCTCTCTCTCTCTATATATATATATACATTTTTTTTTTTTTTTGAGAGGGAGCCTCACTCTGTCACCCAGGCTGGAGTGTATTGGCACAATCTCAGCTCACTGCAACCTCTGCCTCCTTGGTTCAAGCGATTCTCCTGCCTTAGCCTCCTGAGTAGCTGGGACTACAGGCACTCGCCACCACGCCCTGCTAATTTTTTTTTGGTAGTTTTAGTGGAGACAAGGTTTTGCCATGTTGACCGCGGCTTGTCTCGAACTCCTGACCTCAAGAGATCCGCCTGCCTCAACCACCCAAAGTGCTGGAATTACAGGCATGAGCCCCTGCACCTAACCTGTATCAGTCTACCTTTAAAATTAGGAGCTTATAAGTAAGTTCAGTATTTTGGGCTTCTTCTCAAGGTAGAGAAGGATGGAGCTAAAGGTGGAAAGCAAATTCAATACCTGCTTTCCCTTCTAAAGATCAATGTGAACTTGTACACCAATTTGCACTTGGCTCACAAAGGGTCCAAATTTAAATCTCTTTTCAATCTTGGTTCCCTCTCCACTCTTCCCTTCGTAGCGTAATAGGTTGGATCATCTGGAATACGATTTCTCATTCCTTTTTAAAAGAAAGATGAAAAATGTAAACTGTGGGCTCCTCACTGCTTATGTCAGAGCAATACATGTGTGCTTTATATAAACTAACCATTTGTCTATTAATGTTTGCAAAGAACTCCGTAGACATGAGGCATTTGGGACACACTCTCTGGAGAAATGTGGTGCCTTTGGAGAGAGGATCAGAGAAGGAAGAAACCAATAGTAAGAGAAATTCCTTTATATGCACATGTATAATAAAATGTGAAAGAAAATCTACCAGTTGAGCATCGAGCTGCATTTTCCCTTAGGTTGAAAGTTAGCCAGTAGGAAGGAAACCTTTTCAAGGAGACTAGGTAACCTTGCCTGCAGTGTTTGTTTCTACACTCTGTTTTACTTGTTCGTGTGACAGAGAAAGAAAACAAAGCTGATGGACTTTGGACTGGACAATGTAGCAGTGTGTCCCCAGATACCAGCTTCCAGATGATCTCTCTTGGGTCTCCCAGATGGAGCAGAGGGTTTCTGGTGACTCTGGTCACTGCATCAGCCAGAGCAGACAGGATCTTAGAAGCTCCCAGGTGCACATATCTGCCTTTCCACGTCGCCACGATTTTGTAGGAAAGTGGCTGAGCATGGGATAGGCCCTTAAAGACTGTAAAGTGTGATTCTTGGTCATGTGGACATTAAGCCAAAGTAGAACAACTTTCTGAAAAAAAAAAATCGTAATGATTTTTGCAGTGCTACTCTGCTAGCCAGAGTGATCCATGGATGTCTGTGGAATAATTAGGATGTACTTCCCCTAGAGAAATGTATGTGCTGGTCTCTTGGCACGAGCAACTCCAGAAAGTTTACCTAGCCAACACCTCAGGACACTAGCCAGAACCCCTCGTTATGTTTCCACTCTTCCAACGAAGGAAGAAAGAAAAAAGGGAAGGAAGGGAGGGAAGGAGGGAAAGAGGGAGGGAGGGTATTGGTTCTTTTCAATAAGAAAGACAAATTATTTCAGATAACAGCAGCTTCCCTTAAATGGTATTTAAGCTTTAACTCTATAGTCCTAAATATCTATTTTAACAGCAGTGATTACTATGTGAGCTCTGCACTGTCAATCTAGAGAAAAGAATCTTGCCACTAAGAAGAATTTCAAGGTGAGAGTTCGCTTTTAATACGCACATATAACACAGACATTCAATTGCACACATGTAGAAAAGAACATGAGAGGAGTGCACAGCTGAGTAGCAAGCATCCACTCCTGCCCCTGGTGTTCAGTGCCAGCCTGATGGTCTCCAGCTAATGTTCTCTGTGCACATGCAACATTTGAGCCCAGCAGGAGCTGAGCACATACCACAGACCACCATGTTCACACGTTTGCTCTTGCTCCTCCCTCCCCTCAGAAGTTCCCACCCTTCTCTCTTCTGGTTGAATTCCTACTCTGACCTCAAGCCTCCTTCTCAGAGCCTTCTGCCTTTTCTATTATTCTTGTCATATTTTTCCTTTATTGTAGTTACATGTATGCTGGACACATCTTCTTCAATGAAATGTAGACTCCTTGCATGGAGAAAGTGTCTCCTTCCTCCTCTTTGAGTCCCTGTGGCCCTAGCACAGGCTGAGTTGAATCGTAACTAAAGTGCTCCAGGTCTCCTCATCATTTCCCCTGCTGTCTTCTATTTTTATCCCGTCACCTGTAGGAACTGTGTCGGAAGAACTAACTGCTAGAGTTTCTCCAAAGTGTCGCGGCCAGTGGCAGTCCAGTAGCTGTCTTGAGTCCATCCTGACTCTTCGCGGCCCATCCCCAAGTCCAGGTCACGGTCATTTCTCACCTAAAAGGTTGCAATTGCTTCTTTATTGCTCTCCCCACTTTCACCGATGCTGACCCAAAGCCACTGGACACTTCTTCTTTTTTGTTTTTTGCTTTTTTGTTTGTTTTGTTTTGTTTTGTTTTTTAGATGGAGTCTTGCTCTGTCACCAGGCTGGAGTGCAGTGGCGCAACCTCAGCTCTCTGTAACCTCTACCTCCCAGGTTCAAGTGATTCTCCTGCCTCAGCCTCCCGAGTAGCTGGGATTACAGGCGTGTGCCACCACACCCGGCTAATTTTTTTGTATTATTAGTAGAGATGGGATTTCACCATGTGGGCCAAGATGGTCTCAATCTCTTGACCTTGGGATCCACCCTCCTCGGCCTCTCAAAGTGCTGGATTACAGGTGTGAGCCACTGTGCCCAGCCTGGACATTTCTTAACTTATATACTAAGCCATGTCCTTCCTTTGACTAACGCCCTTTCTTCCTGGCTCTTACCAAATTTTTAAATTATGCAATTTGTAGATTTGCTTGGTTTTTGTCTGTTTCCTCCGCGTGCCTGTAAGCTCTGTGGGGGCAAGAACCGTCTTTGTGTGGCTCACTGAATCCCCGGCCTCTACATGGCACTTGGAGTACATAGATGCTCCCAGACCTTTGTTGAATGAATAGATTAAAAGTGCAGCTGTTCTTATTTTCCTTCCTGTTATAACCCTTGCTCTAGCCCCCTTTTTGCCTTGCTTCTGTTTCTGATTTCTCCTCCTTCATTTTTTTTTTTTTTTTTTTTTTGAGACAGGCTCTTACTCTCACCCAGCAGGCTGGCGTGCAGTGGTGAGATCACAGCTCACTGTACCCTTGACCTCCTAGGCTCAAATGACCCGCCCACTTCAGCCTCCCAAGTAGCTGGGACTATAGGCACACACTAATTTTTGTATTTTTCGTAGAGATGGGGTCTCACCATGTTGCCCAGGCTGGTCTCGAACTCCTGGGGGCAAGAGATCCACTCATCTTGGCCTCCCAAAGTGCTGGGATTACAGGCATGAGCCATTGGTGCCTGGCCTGGTTTCTGCATTTTACCTGGAACTCATTGGAGAACTGAAACTCAAGAGCCTCAAAATCTACAACTGAGCCTAGGGGAGCCTCAGTCCTTAGTTTTGTCGTGGAATCAGAGAGCACATTCCTGTGCTCCAGGTGCCCCACCCACTGAATAACAGCGGAGGCAATGATGGCACTGACTCACTCTGGAAACTGCAACTGCACCCCGATAAGTTCTCCCTGTAAAACCAGTCACAAGATGACATTCCTCAGACCCCAAAGAAGTGAGTAAGTTTTATGGCCTGTGTCAGGGTAACATGCACTCTGCTAAAAATAACATGGTAAAATTTCCTAAGAAATAAATAATGCACCATTACTTTGTGTTTCTGGGAAACCTTAAGGATTTGTTGTAGAAAGATATTTTAGTTTTCTTAGCCTGGTGAAAAAGCATGCAAAGGAAAAAGTCATATTGGATAAGAGAAAGAATATTTGGGTATGTGGCCAGGAATGATGCACGTTTTGCCACTTATTTCTTTTACGTTTTAATCTTTTTGGAAACAGAGGCAAGTAACTAGCCAAGTACATTTGAAGGGCATCCATAGTTCCAAATGCCTCTCCCTTTACAATTTATTGATGAAGGACTAAGTAGCTCATCTAATTCATCTTGAGGAGATAGGAAAATGCTTATGGCAACAGCATTTTATCATGGTTGTGAGGCTTCTGAAAACATAATTCCAAACGATAGGAATGGTTTGCAGAGCCATCTGGGAGGAGATGGGCTGATTAGGAATGTCTGGGGCCTTAGAAATAAATTCAGGTGAAGTCGAAGCATGTTTTTCAGATCTGGTAGATTTTTGTGAGACTATTTATGGCTGGGTGTAGTTTAGCAGGCTTCTCGTAGAGCAGTGGAGTCCCTGTGTTCTACAACCTTCCCTCCGGGGCTTTTGTATTCACCCATTCTCACACCATTTCTGGTTGCAATTGTGTGCAATGTTTCCCCAAATTCACTGTGTATCAGAGTCACTGGAGAAACAAAACAAAACAAAAAATTGATCCCCAGAGCTTGCTCTAGACTACTGAATCAGAATTTCCTGGGCCAAGAATCTGTATTTTTACAAAGCTCTCCAGATGATTCTGATAAGCAGCCAGGTTTGACAATCACTGGTGTGGTGGAAAGAATTCTGTTTGCATCTAAGCTCAACCACCAACTACCTAAGCAACTTTAGAGATGGCAACTCTTGGGCTATCAGGAAACAGAGAAAATGATGCCTATGTCACAGGGTTATTGAAGAATTAAAGGAAATTACATATGTGATCTATCCCAATGCAAATTTAGTAGGCTGCGTTAGTTAATACTCTGCTGATGACCTAGAAGCTTAAAAGAGTTTTTTTCTCTAAAAAAGTGTTTAGCTTCCTCTTCTGTGTTTGATTCCTTATGAAACTTGGTTTCCCCTTTCATCAGTCACCAAGGATCAGGCCATATGTAGATGAATCATAATACCATTATGCCATGTGTTCTAAGAGCCTTCCAAGTGCATTGCTGCAAGAAAAGCTCAACATTTAATGTATATTGTTTTTCGATATCTCTTTCCAAATTGCCAGTACAATTTCCATTCCTGGGAAATTACATAGACATGTCTGGATCCAGTTCTTTTATCTTTGCATTTCCAACTGCTCTGTTTTCCTTCTTTCTTCCCATCAAATTCTTATATTTTGACAGTTTTAAGACCAGCTCTTCCTTGATCCTTTCCTTCCTATAATATATTGAATTGAAGTGAGCCCATTTCCCTTAGTGAGCCTTCTCTCCAAACACAAAATACTCTGAAGTTCAGATTCTCCTTCTGTGAGTGGGTTAACATCACACAAAGTTTGTGGTTTCATCCATCATAAACAAGAGTGTTTTACATGAACTCTGTTTCTTGTCTCCCAAGAATCACAGAAAGGTTGGGGCAAAGTGAAATAAATTTTCAGAAAGAAAAGTTACTTATTAAAAATAGCAGTGATAAAAATATGTAGATTGATTTAGTAGGAAGAATTCGTAAATTGTTTTAACTTAAAAGGAAACACTCTTGCAGGCATTCACAATGAATCAGGAGGAAAACACTTTGGCTTCTTCAAAAAGCTATTTACTCTCTTTGGTGTTCACAAAACATATCCAACAAAAGCCTTTTCTCTTACGATGCGAGGGAAGAAGGCAAATTGCATTTGGGAGCATCTGATCATACTTCACTCAGGAATGTTATGGGTTTTGGTTGTGTGCCCAGCTGATCTGAGCATATTAGCAAACATAGTAATAGTATTAGCTGCTGACAGTGTTTGGTATCAAACACATCCATTTGCAAAAATAGAAGAAATACTATATTCACATTTTCAATGCTCCCCTTTACTTAAATACCGCAATGTGGTTTGAGTTGTGAATCTATTGAAGACATCTTTGATGAATCAACAGTCAAGGCATATGTAGAAAGTGATTTGGAAAATTTTTCCTGGGTTGTTGGTGGGGGAAGGGAGATAGTGTTGGGACATTTTCCATTCTCGTTCCTGCTTTTTCATTGGCCCCTGCCGCTTCCTAAGTCTATCTGCTGTTAAATGAAGATAACTCCCTCTCTCACACCCCAACGTCTCGTCTCTCAGGGCTTTCTGGAGTACGACAGACTAATTGCAAAGAAATTTGACCTTCTTGGATAACTGGTGCCATCTAAATACCACGCGTTATTCCCCTGTCAGACACTCTAACGTAGGATGAGCCAGGCTGAAATCTTCCAAAAGCTGTGGAGGATAAATAAGCTCACATTCCAACTCAAAAATCAACAATAACAAAAAAGCCAAGCATAGTGAAAAATGATAAAGATCAGCCTCCGCTGTCACCTTTTTCATTCATACCATTGTACTTTTGGGGTCTATGTCATGGGGATGGTTCCTATGTCAATCCTAATGATAAAGCTTGAGTTTGGTTTACGTCTGTGCTGCGATTATTCATCTTCTTTCAAGCACTATTTCTTACTTTATCAACCAGGAAGGCGGGAAAAAATGATCTCTAAAATTCTACGGTTTTTCACTTTTCTCCTTTGGAGCTATTATAAGGTAGTAAATTGATGGTAAAACTGAGATCAAGACAGCTGGGCTCTACTTTGAATTTTCATAGAGCTTCAGCTTACCTGGGTTTTGGCTATCCCTATATGGAAAATGTAGATCAGTGGTCTTCAGCGTTTTTGGCACCAGGGACTATTTTTGTGGAAGACAATTTTTCCATGGATGGCAAGGGGCATATGGTTTTGGGATGAAACTGTTCCACCTCAGATTATCAGGCATTAGATTCTCATAAGGAGTGTGCAACCTAGATCCTTCACATGGACAGTTCACAATAGGGTTTGCACTCCTATGAGAATCTAATGCTGCCACTGATCTGACAGGAGGCGGAGCTCAAGCCGTAATGTTCACTCGACCGGGGCTCACTTCCTCCTGAATGGCCCAGTTCCTAACAGACCACAGACCAGTATTGGTTGGTGGCTCAGGGGTTGGGAACCCCTGATGTAGCTGATACCTGACTCCTCAGGAGACAGGCTTTTGGAAGCAAACTGGAACACCAAATAGATGCACTCCCACAGATGTTGAAGTTGGAAGAGAAAGAAAAACATCTATTTTTCTGCTGCTGTTTCTGCTATGAGAGATGGTAGCTGCAGGCAGACTCACCATTCTTGTGTCAAGACAATGACTTTGGGAGTATCACACATCATTGGTAGTGATGTGGTGGTGGCAGTGACACCAACCACTATTTCCTGACCTCTGGATTCCAGCTATGTGCGTGACCTTGAACTGGTTAAACCCAACTGTGGATCCCTGCCTCATGCTCCTCCACGTCTTTAAATAATTTTGTAAGCACATAATTCCTTGCATTAAATCCCTTTCATATGGAAATATCCAGAGTAAAGAGTTTGTTTCTTGCCCTGAAATCTGATGAATTCTGAATTTGGCATCTAAATAGAGGTTTAACACAGGTGCCATATTGCAGGGAATTTCACATCACAGGATCTTCACATCAATATGATAAGGTAAGTATTACCTTTCCCATTGGTTACATGAAAGAACTAAGGTTTAGTGAGATGGAATTATTTGCTCAAGGCCACACAACTTGTAAGTCACAGAACCCGTCAAATGCAAATCTAATTACAAAGTTTTTGTATCTAACTACTCTGTTAAACTGTGATGCCATGGGATCAAGTGTGTAATAATAGTGTACAAATAGCTGAATATTTATGGTTGCAAATGTGCTTTAAACTCCATGAAGGAAGAGCCTATATCTTATACCTCTTTAGTAAGACTCCCCAGTCCCAGAATATAGCTCAGTATTTGGCACATAGAATAGATCCTTGATAAGTTACTGCTGAATGAATAAATGAATGGTATCGTGATGAGTCCTAACAAGGAAGGTGACACCTTGTGGGGAAGTCACTATAGTTTCCAAATGGGCTTTATTAAGATGCGTCTCACTCCTCAGGTGTTCAGTTGCCACTGCTAAAAGCCATTACAAATATTTTTGTTTCCTGTGTATATAGTTATGGTTTCTGTTCGGAAGAATGGCTTATCAACAAGTTCTACTGGCACATAACATTCATCAAACAATAGAACATTCAGTCTATTAGGATGGGCTGTTAGGTTTTTCTAACTCAGCCCATCTTATAGCAGCTCTTTTCTAAAAGAGCCTTTCTTTTGCAACTTATAAGTTAATAAGTTTTTAAACCCAAATTCAAGGACATGGTTCTACAAGAATCTTTGCAAACACCCTGCCTTTACTTGTGGCCTTCAGAAGCCGATGTGTGACACCCATAAATGTCTTACCAACTTTCTCCATGGATTCCTCTGTGCCCATTTGGAATCAAGTTTTCTTTTACTATATAGTTATGATAATTTTCAGTGGCCCTTGCCTTCTCACGGGGCTTTCTGGCCACCAAATCTGCCATATTCTACACATTTTCTTTTAATTGCCAAACCCATGTGTATTTTAGCAGGAAATTTGATCCACATGTTTCTGATTCACCTACACTTAAGTCACCAGACAATTTTGGAAGAGCAGCCTGATGGCCAAAAAGGCTTGGTAGAGTCTCCTTTCCCTTTAGAAACAGAAAGTTGAGTATGTGAAGTACAAGCTCCCCGAATCTTGCCAGGACTAGGCTGTTGGTAAAACCCAGGCTTCAGGAGGCTTCAAAGAATACTACTTTCTCAAGATATACTCCTGGCTAGGTGTGCCAATTGACTTTCTAAATTATGTCCTGGAGCACTTTGAAAGTTGATGGCCTGGATACTTCCCTGACCCCTCCTTAGGACTTTCCTCCTACCCTCCAAGTTTGCTTCTCATTGAGTGGCCAATGTTTCCCCAGGTTTCTCTGTTCTAATCCCCAAGGCTGTTGCCACAGCACATGATACCAGTGAAGGGCTGGGATATGCCTTCTGCACTGCCCATGTGGCTTTCCCATGGTCAGAGAGGGAACACTGGTCGATGAAAACCCACAGCAGAACCCAATGCTCTGTCTGCCCACAGATCTGCCTTGATGGTGAGCAGGGCCGTCCCACGCATCTGGTCTGTCTCCCTAATAAATGAATCATGCACAACCGTCATGGTGTGCAGCAAACTGAGATATTTGGCAGGAACTCTGTGCCTTGACACTTCCTGAACTACCGACACTTGAGCAGTGACTCAGAAAAGAAGCGGGTAGTTCTACTGGCTGATTCTATGAAAGACTTGAGGGCCGGGCGCAGTGGCTCACGCCTGTAATCCCAGCACTTTGGGAGGCCGAGGCGGGCGGATCACAAGGTCAGGAGTTCGAGACCATCCTGCCAAACGTGGTGAAACCCCGTCTCTATTAAAAATACAAAAAAAATTAGCCAGGTGTGGTGGTGGGAGCCTGTAGTCCCAGCTACTCAGGAGGCTGAGGCAGGAGAATGGCGTGAACCCAGGAGGCGGAGCTTGCAGTGAGCCGAGATCGTGCCACTGCACTCCAGTCTGGGCGACAGAGCGAGACTCCGTCTAAAAAAAGAAAAGAAAGACTTGAGAACCATGTTCACAACTTCACATCAATCTGTAAATCCCACCAAAGTGAGAGGTAATTCCACCTTTCCCTCTGTACACAGTCTAAGATGATTTACCTTTTATGACGTCTTTAAAACATTCCATCATGCTCATTCATTCAGCAGTTATTATTGCCTTTGTTAGGCCGCGTGCAAGATATCAAGATAAAAAGAAAAATGAGACACAGCCTATGGCTTCAAGGAGCTTATAACCCAGTTGAATGAGGCACATATATAATAAGTAAACAAGTATTAGGTGTGCCAAATTAAGTTCAGCCCAAAGCTGCCTCCTTACATAGTGAAAGCTCGGCCTAAAGTTTTCTCTGTACATAGCAAACTGTAACCTAGCTGGATGTGTAAACAGGCTGTAACCTACTCTTGTGCCAATCACTGAGATTCGGCCAAAGGTGGCCAACTGTTCAAACTATGTTCAGATAAGGCAAACACTGAAATGTAACCAATACGGCTGTTTCTGTCCCTCACTTTTCGTGTACCTCACTTTCCTTTTGCTGTCCATCGGTTGTCTTCAACCACACGGCAGTGCAGAGTCTCTCTGAACCTGTTTTGCAAATTGCTCTTTACTCAAAGTCTGTTCAGTTTAATCTGTCTAAGGTTTCTCTTTTAACAGGTGGTAGTGTGGTACAGGGGAGAGTGTCTACTGTGGAGTCCCAGAGGCCTAAATTCAAGTTCCAACTCTGCCACTTACTAGTTGAGGAGTTTTGGTTAAGTCATGGAATCCGTCTGCCTCAATGGCTTCATCTATAAAATGTAGGGAGGGATGTTTAAATGAACAATGTATACAGAGCTTGTTATGTATATAGAGTAACTCTTATCATTATGCCCCGTTTCAGGGACTGTATGAAAGTATGCGTGGGGTCCCACAGGAACACAAAAAGGGATCATAAGAGAGAAGTAATTAACCATGTCCTCCCCTACCCACTCGCAGCTAGAAGAATGAGTTCCTCTAGCTGACAATCTATTTTATTTATTTATTTATTTTTGAGACGGAGTTTCGCTCTTATTGCCCAGGCTGGAGTGCAATGGCGCCATCACGGCTCACTGCAACTTCCACCTTCCGGGTTCAAGTGATTCTCCTGACTCAGCCTCCCAAGTAGCTGGGATTACAGGCATGCGCCACCAGGCCTGGATAATTTTTTTTTTTTTTTTGTACTTTTAGTAGAGATGGAGTTTCACCATGTTGGTCAGGCTGGTCTTGAACTCCTGAGCACAGGTGATCTGCCCACCTTGGCTGGATCACAAAAGTGCTGGGATTACAGGCGTGAGCCACTGTGCCTGGCCGACAATTTATTTTTAATAAATGTTCCCATTTTCCTGGCTCTCCTGTCCCCCTGGCCAAGGCAGTGGCACTTTAGTGATCACCATGTGATCCTGTGACAGATAGGGGATCTGGAGGGTTTCGTTCTCCAGGCCCTAACCCTGTGGCTGGTATCTGTGAGATTTATATGTGAAGCCTGGTATCTCTCAAAGGTTTCAAAGGAAAGAGGAGGAGAAAAGATGTTTCTGCTATTCCTTTGTGCCTAGCTGAGTAAATAGGAAAGGTCCTCGTCGCAGCCTTGCCAAAGAAATAGAATTCTGTTCCAGGAGTCTTGGGAAGTGTGGAGTCAGGGTCATGCTGCTCCTCATTGTGTGGCAGTGACTGTGGAACTGTGGATCGAGTGGATGACTCAGTTTTCCAAGCTCATATCACCTCCAGGTAGCTGCCCAACCCAGACAGACCCCCAACTCACTGGCAGAAACACTTCCAACTCTGAATTGCTCCCTTCAGGACCTCCAGGTGTGTTCCGGAACACTGCATCTTTGGGTGTAAACACATTTGGAAGAGCCATCCCTAGAAGACTCAGCCTGGTGACCTGGCACGTGACTCACTTTGAAGGCAGTGGGAGGGGAGGATGGCTTTGCACAAACGCTGTAGGAAACACTCAACAATCTATTTTCTCTCTCCCAGTAGCAAGAACGGAGGAAATTCTCTTCTAGAATGACCCCATTGTAAACCCCTCCTCATGCTGTGTGACTGCTCTGAGGCTCCAGCTGGCTGTGTCCACAGTGGGAGTTCAATCAGGATGAATGGCTGTGGTGCTAGCACCATCCTCTTCTTTTGTTCTCCACATGTCTCTGGGGTGACTATAACCACCTTTCTGGTTTCAAAGATCCTCAGCTGGAGCATTGTGGGAAGACTGAGATAGGAGTAATGACCCTCTCCAGCCCACAGGCAAATCCCTCTGTCTGTGCTGCAGATGCCCAGCTGACTCCATTCAGAAAGAAAGGGCCTTTCTGAGTCTGTCTAATGGAGGTTCTCCTTGTCTCCTGCCTCTAAGTTTCCTATTTTTTTTTCCAGGAAAATCCCTTCTCCTTCCAGCCACTCTGACTTCACTATCTAGTTCATCACCACTAGCCCCAGCCAGATTTTCTCTCCCGTGGATCCCTCTGCTACTTCCCTAGCACCTTGGGACAACTCTTCATTCACCTTCCTTTTTGGCTTCCTCACATTGTCCACAGCCTTATGTAGCCTTATTCTACCTTGTCCAACATTGCTATTTCCAGGCCAGTTTTTTGTTGTTTTTTTTTTTTTGAGACGGAGTCTCACTCTTGTCACTTAGGCTGCAGTGCAGTGGTGCCATCTCAGCTCACTGCAACCTCTGCCTCCTGGGTTCAAGCAATTCTCCTTCCTCAGCCTTCGAAGTAGCTGGGATTACAGGCATGCGCCACCACACCCAGCTAATTTTGTATTTTTAGCAGAGACAGGGTTTCTCCATGTTGGTCAGGCTGGTCTCGAACTCTCGACCTCAGGTGATCCGCCTGCCTTGGCCTCCCAAAGTGCTGGGATTACAGGCATGAGGCACCACACCTGGACTCCAGGCCAGTTCTTACCATGATCTACTCTTACTTTTTAACCATTAACTGTGGTTCTATTGTTGAATTTTTCAAATACATACAAACATAGAAATAAGAAGTGCAAGCCAGATGCGAGGGCTCATGCCTGTAATCCCAGCACTTTGGGAGGCCGGGGTGGGCGGATCACTTGAGGTCAGGAGTTTTGAGAGCAGCCTGGCCAACATGATGACACCAAGTCGCTACTAAAAATACGAAAATTAGAGGGTGTGGTGGTGGATACCTGTAATCCCAGCTATTCCGGAGGCTGAGGCAGGAGAATCGCTTGAACCCAGGAGGTGGAGGTTGCGGTGAGCTGAGATCACACCAGTGCACTCCAGCCTGGGTGATACATCAAGACTCTGTCTCAAAAACAAAAAAAAAAGCAACAAAAAAAAAGATATAAGAAGTACAATGAACTCCCAAGTACCCTTGACCCAGCTTCAACAGTTATCAGTGTATGGCCAGTCTTGATTATCTATATCCCCATTCCCTCCTGGCCCTCCACCTCATCACTACCACTGGATTATTTTAAAGAAATCCAAGACATCATATCATCTGTAAATAATTCAATATTTATCCCTAAGATATAAGGGCTCTTTTAAAAAAATAGCCATAATATAATACTGTGTAACACTTGAATCATACCAAAATATTCAGTTACTACTCAAACTTCCCTGACTGTCTGATCAATGCTTTTCTTTGAGTCAGGATGCAAATAAGACCCACACACATTATATTTGGCTCGTATGTCTCTTAAGCCTTTTAAAATCTATGATAGTACCCCACCATTTTTCCCTCCTATCATTTATTTGTTGGAAAAATCTAGGCTACTTATCCTGTAGAGACTCTTCATGCTGGATTTTGCTGATGATTCCCAATGGTGTGTTGAACGTATCTCAGTGTGTTGAATGCATCTCAGTTCTACCATCTGTAAAATGGGGATAATACCAGACCCATTAAGTTCACAGCATTATTGTTTGGATCATATACTATCATATATGTAGATCAGGTTGTTCTATTAAACAAAGAAATTGTTCTTTATAATGCTTTAAAAAGAAAACTCCATATGCCAATGCTTGCATTCATGTTTATTAAGACGCAGCCAAGTGAAATGTGTCAGCTCCTCCTCTTGAGTACAGCCTTCTTTACTGGTGTATAACAATGCCCAAGGGCTGGATGAACTACATAATCAAAATCAAATGACAGCTTTCTACAGACTTGGCCAAAATAGTACAACCTCAGACACCATTTTAAACTGCAAGAAATCTGAGCCTTTCATAGTCTTGCTTTTTATTGTTGACATTCACATTTTAATTTTTATGATCATTGCAGATTCACATTTTAAAAACCCAAGAAACAAAAAAGCTCTTATTCTAATTTAGCAAAAAGCAGAATCATCGGTGTGAAGACAATACACTATCTACATACAGCTGCTTTGTATCCATAATTATCTATGTAAGAAACATGCTGTCATTCACAGGGACTCCATTTACACGTGCACATAAGCCATGCTGAGGCCTAACAGGTAATGTGGGTTTTCGTCTAGCATCTTCTCTTTACTCTGGATCCTTATCCTCATCTGAAAAATGGGGGACAGACTTCTTTGCAACAACATTATCCAGTCTCTGTCCTTGTAGATATGGATTGACACTCTGAAAAACAAACAAACAAAAACCATGTGGTTTGGTGTTATATGTGAACATCAGATACAGACATCTCAGAAAAGAAATGAACAAGAATCGTTTCTGGGGCCGGGCGCGGTGGCTCACGCCTGTAATCCCAGCACTTTGGGAGGCCGAGGTGGGCAGATCACGAGGTCAGGAGATCGAGACCATCCTGGCTAACACGGTGAAACCCCGTCTGTACTAAAAATACAAAAAATTAGCCGGGCGTGGTGGTGGGTGCCTGTAGTCCCAGCTACTTGGGAGGCTGAGGCAGGAGAATGGCGTGAACCCGGGAGGCGGAGCTTGCAGTGAGCAGACGTCATGCCACTGCACTCCAGCCTGGGCGACAGAGCAAGATTTTGTCTCAAAAAAAAAAGAAAAAAGAAAAGAAAAGAATTGTTTCTGGCCTATTAGGTTAACAACAATGTAACCAGTGGCACCTACCAACTACCAAACAATTACTCCAGTGTACTAATTAATACCTCAGTGGCCTATGAAACATTTTCTGACTGATAGATGTCTCTAATTGTGTTTTTCACACAACTATAGAGCTCTTTATCAGATGCAATGTGGTCTTTTTAAAAATTATTATTTTTGGTGCAAAGATGTGCAGTAAACCAGCTCATAAGTCCTTGCTACTAATTTAGATACCAAGACCCATAAGAAAGATAATTATTATTCTATGGCCCTATTTAGGTAGGAAGGGGAATCTGAAATGCATTAAATTATATTTTGCAAGAAAAACGTTCTAAAGGAGAAGAGTAGGGCCAAGTGGGAATTAACATCTGAAGACTGGTCCCAGATCATCCTGTTGCTGGGATTGATTCTTCCTCGCCAGTATTTTACTAAGGAGAATTCATTAGGGGCTCGAGTGATCATTTCCACCTTCCTTCAGTCAAATTCAAAAACTGAAGCAAAAAAGGAAGCTTCCGGGAAGGGTCCTTTGTTTTTGACTCAAGACTCCATACTCTGAAATCACTTTCATGTGTTGGTATTCTTAATGAGTAAATATTTTTCCATTCCTTCTCTAATACATATCTATTTATTGAGGTGTGGATTCGAACTAGTAATTGAAACTTTACAAAATAGTATTTAGCAAGCAGAAGAAAAATTCAAAAGTTTTGGAAGATGTTTGTTCATTGAAGTTGCCTTCCAATAATGGAACAAAAATATAAGAAAGAAGCTGTAGCCAGGCGCGGTGGCTCACGCCTGTAATCCCAGCACTTTGGGAGGCCTAGGTGGGCGGATCACAAGGTCAGGAGATCGAGACCATCCTGGCTAACACGGTGAAACCCCGTCTCTACTAAAAATACAAAAAATTAGCCAGTCGTGGTGGTGGGCCCCTGTAGTCCCAGCTACTTGGGAGGTTGAGGCAGGAGAATGGCAGGAACCTGGGAGGCGGAGCTTGCAGTGAGCCGAGATTGCGCCACTGCAGTCCAGCCTGGGCGACAGAGCGAGACTCCATCTCAAAAAAGAAAAAAAAAAAAAAGAAAGAAAGAAGCTGTAGTTACAAACGATCAGCAATCCCTGTTGCATGCTCAATCCCCATGTATGAATGGAGTCTGTTCACAGGTGGAGCTCTCTTGCCCATGAAATAACCTGCCATGACTCTTGAAAGGTGAGCAGACATTCTTCAAAAGAGAAGGAATGAAACCTGAGTTTAGCATTTACAAATGTTCTTTCACATTCTGACTGCTAAACGCATGAATCGTGAAAGGTCCGACTCACTCTACAAAGATGCATCACAAAGTAGGTGAGAATTACAAAGTGAGCAATGTCCTCAGACATTTGAAAAGTGACATGCCACAAGACAACACCTTGCTGAGAATTCATCTTAGAAATATTTAAAATAATAAAAATTCCTTTTATCAATTACAGTGGTTTGGCCTACCCCAGGGGATCATATCAGAATTTTGTTTAGTAATATTTATTCCAAAAATTCTAATATGTTAAAGGAGGATATGAGAGGTTCAAGTTTATCAAATATGAGATTAAAAGGTTCATAAACTGTTTAAATAAGATCAATAGTAGCGCTCAAATATTAACAAGATACAGCTTAAGAGTTTAAAAGTTCACAGTCATTTAAAGGTAGATTGACATTTCATTTGTGAAGCAATGAGGAATTCAATTGGATTTGGGTGAGTACAAAAAGTTGTTCAAAGCCATATGGGGCTTGGTTGCAACTTTGAGGAGAATCTATCTCTCATGGGAGAAGTCCTGCCCAGACCTACAACATGCAAAGGTTGGAGGGGAGGGGAAAAATTAAAGAGGAGGTAAAAAGAGGAATCAGGTGAACTTTTTTGATAAATATTTAACTGAGTATTGAATCCAGCACTTAGGAATAATAATAATGAGCTTTGGGTTTGTTTTTGTTTTGTTTTGCTTTGTTTTGAGATGGAGTCTCACTCCATTACCCAGGCTGGAGTGCAGTGGTATGATCTCGGCTCACTGCAAACTCCACCTCCCAGGTTCAAACGATTCTCCTGCCTCAGCCTCCCGAGTACCTGAGATAACAGGAGCACACCACCACGCCCGGCTAATTTTTGTACTTTTAGTAGAGATGGGGTTTCACCATGTTGGCCAGGCTGGTCTTGAACTACTGACCTCAGGTGATCCACCCTCCTCGGCCTCCCAAAGTGCTGGGATTACAGGCGTGAGCCACCATGCCTAGCTGAGCCTTGGCTTTAATTGTGCTCTGAAAAACTCAAGGCACTTCTATATTTGTCTTCTCTCACTTGGGCAAGAGATTGGGTAGGGCACACAGAGAACATGATTCCCATTTCACAACTGGAAGAACCACTGGGATTGGATCTTTGCTTACAATGTCCTCTGGAAACTCACAGCAGATGCTGAGCTTCACTGAAGGAAGACTTCATTGTTCAAAAAAGAAAGCGTATAGTTTCTTTATATTGATTCATGTACTGGGGGTGGTGGTGGGGCAGTGTTAATGTCTTTAATCAAGATGGGAACATCATCTGAGACCTCATGATGGGCAGGGCCAACGTGCTTCCTTATCAATCCAGAGAGGCCCATGGTTTATGGCATGAGAATGGGTCTTTGTAGATGCCCAAGAACAGGAAGAACTTGATATCTCTGGGTCAAAGTGACCCTTCTTTTCCTAAATTCTAAGCCTTTCCTATGTGGAGGAAATTGAGGCTAAAGTAAAATCCTTTATAGCATGTGTCTTAGCCAGCATTCTGAGTTTTGGTAATCACTAGTCTCACGGAAAAATGACCTAAATCGTGACCATGGTCATTCACTGAGTCAGGGCAGAAGGAATGGTGGGCCAGGAAGTAGAGACAATTAAAGTTTCAAGCTAAGTTATTGATTTTGGGTCAGTCATTGCTCTTATTTGGAAATGTTCTTGTTGTGTTGTAGGGAGATATTCAAGCCGTGTTACTGGTAAATTATGTGTATTTTGAGTTCCTAGAATAGAATTTCTTGATGTTCCCTCAAGACCACATTATACCCTTTGGACCCTTTCTGTCACCATCTGCTATTGGAAGCTGTAATCACCAAGAAAAACCCCTAATAACTCTGTTAACTCTCCTCAAAAAAGATTTGTTTCCAGAGGTAAAAATTTTCTACTTCTCGCGTAGAAAATTGCTGTATGTCTTCTGTGTTTTGTCAGGCAGTACAGGGGCTTGGAACCTTCTGTTGTGGGGGCCTGAGGACTGATGCTGAGGCCAGAAAATCCACACCTCTTGAAGCTCTCTCTGACCGGATTTGGCAAAACCCTTCAGAATGGCCACAATTACCACTGCCCAGATTCCCAAATTTTGTGAGGATCCAGGCACTTGCTCTTCTGAATAAATAGTCAGTGGCTTTGAGTACGTGCTTAGGTTTGTATGTTTTAACTAAAATGGTCACTATCTCATAGCATTTTACCATGTAACAGTGGGGTTGTTTTTTCTCCCACTTTCATCTGATCAGATAAAGAAGGAGGTAGGTGGCCAGGCCCTTCTGACTAGTAAGGTACCAGTGGATTAGCAGAATGGACCTTGATCACTTATCAAGTCTTGATGCTATAAAATACCCTGGAAAGCCAAAGCAAATGTGACATTGAGTTTTACGTGAGGCAACACTGTATATGAAGTAGCTAAATGTGGAGTATCTAGACCAAGTTCCTACCTTGGGCAGCCCTGGGATGGTTAAAAACTAAGCCTGCAGTAAATTCAACAGACAGCAAACAAATATTACAGATCTAGTAGATTTTACATCAGTCTGGCTAGGCCAAGAAAAAAAGATACATAGGAGAAATTAAGTTTGTTCATCTCATCTTTTGCTCCCGAATTCCTTCAAAGTTATTTCCTGGAGCATGCAGTTCAGCACTTCCCTGTTTCTGTCCTGTGTTTTTATAGAATTGATGCAGATGTGTGATCAGTTTTTCCCCACTGGCCTACAGACCCTGGGAGGGCAGACAGACCCTCATGTCCCCCCAGATATGTCCCACACTGATGGGGGAAGCAATACACATTTCCTGAACGGAATGGAGTTGCTAGAATCGCTACAGACTGCGCGTTCCACTAAAAATCATCTGCTAAAGCCTGGGGAAGCCATCGCAGAAACCAAGGACAGACTTTCTGGGTGTGGCCCTTGTCACATGGACCAGTGTTTCTCAGGACTACACAAGGGAGGATTCTGTGACTTCCCAACAAGCGAGGGTTTCAGCCTGTTCACTGCCCCACTCAGAAAGCTCCAAGCATCCCCGCAACAATCCAGCCAGGCACGTGTTACCCTCCGCTTTCGTCTCTCTCCTCCCTTCATCTTCTCGTAAAGGAGTTTCTTGTTCTAGAATGGGGAGAAAAGAAAACAAAAAATGCAGAAGTATGGATCAAATTTGGTGAATGTCTATTTTAAAAGCAATACTTGGTGTGTCCCCTAGATATTTGCATACGCATATTTTGGAAACAAAACTAGATGAAAGGAATGTCGTGTCAGAAAGATAGACCACAAGAGTAAAGCTGGTGGTGGTTCGGCTTTTAATAAAGTCCTCTGCAATGCCCTGAGGCACACCAGTGTCATCAACAATCACATAAACAGGGAAATACGACATTTTAAAACATGAAGGGTGCTGGAAACCCATCTCCTCACTTTGAACAGCCTTTGTTTAAAACAAATGATTTTATCTCATTTATTTTTGTATCTAACTCCCTTTTTATAAACTGCTCTCTAGAGTAGCGTCTGACTATTAACAACAATCCCCTGTGTAAATAAACGAGACATTCTGACTTCTGCAACCATTTTGTCTGTGGCGTTAAGTCAGTGCCCCCAGTCAAGACAATTGGAAAACCATTTGGTCTATAACATTTTTAATAGAGTGAACCTTTTAAAAACTGCCAAAAAACTTCTTGGCAGAAAGGAAAGTTATGTTGGGTCGGGGGGCAGGGCTCTGTTACCACAGTTTGTGTAAGTGTTTCCACACATTGCTGTATTTCAAACACATAGTGGGCTTCAATGAGCTCTAGAATATCAGACACATGCTCAACAGATTTCCCTTCTATTGAGATTATAAAAGACAGAACACTTAACCTGAAGGCAGAAAGGGAGAAGGGGATTTGGTGGCGGTGGGGGGGGGCTTTACTTGTGTTGTTTTATTTATTTGATTTTTTTTATCTGGAGGAAAATGATGTATAAAAGAGGTGATTCGTTTTGTTCTAAATAAAATACTCTGACATTAAGAAAAAAAAAAAACAAAGACAACCACAGAGTTCTGGTAAGGAACAAGTTTATACAACATGTATCCTCTGAGCTGTCCACTTATAAAGACTTATTTTTAGTGATAGATTTGGAATTGAAAATGACAAATGCCAAGAATGAGCTTCATCATTTTTCACGTTCATTAAAATCTACCCCACCTGCAATTTACAATGCATATCTCTTGCCCAACCTCAACTATGCAAGGAGGCGGTGCCAGAGTGAAGGAGCCTCTACTACCAAAAACACCAGTACTGGCTACAGCCTCTATCTCCTGCTCACTTGGGGAATAAATCAATTTAATATCGGAAGGGAGAAAAGGCAGACTTGCAGATCATTTCCTTGAGGAATGAGGATATTGCTGTGAGGCTCATTCTCTACAGTCTGTGGTTGCCTTTCTGTGAACGTAAAAACTCCTGAGGCAGAGAATATCCGAAGAGCTGGTGTTAGAGCTGGGAAGGCCGGGAAGGGGTGAGGACATGTCTTCTTCATGTGTACCATTGTTTTCAGCTGCCTGAGCTGGATGGAGTGTGGAAGAACCTGAGAGCTACTACCATGGGGTGGGACTGTCAGCCAGCTCTGGCAGAGTTCCACTGTGCCATCAGCCAGGTAAAGCCAGCATCATTTAATTCTTTAGGAGATCTTGGGGGCAGATCCTACCCATAAGAGTCTTCATTCAAAAAGAAATGTGCCCCAGCACTTTGGGAGGCCGAGGTGGGAGGATCACGAGGTCAGGAGATCGAGACCATCCCGGCTAACACGGTGAAACCCCGTCTCTACTAAAACTACAAAAAATTAGCCGGGCGTGGTGGCGGGCGCCTGTAGTCCCAGCTACTCAGGAGGCTGAGGCAGGAGAATGGCATGAACCCAGGAGGCAGAGCTTGCAGTGAGCTGAGATTGCGCCACTGCACTCCAGCCTGGGGGACAGAGCGAGACTCCGTCTCAAAAAAAAAAAAAAAAAAAGAAATGCAAAAGGCCTGGCTAATCTTCCTCTCAAAGATGGTCCCTGTGTCTCCTTAAGAGCTAGGGTTAGGATTAGCAGGATAATGCTTCCCTACCCCTGCATGAAAGTGTCTGGGACATTCTTAATTAGCCCTATTATTGTATGGACTTGAAGGCATTGGCAGGTATGGTATGGGTAAGAGAAGCATACAAATTGAATGAAAAGAAATCAGCTATCTCTCCTCACGCCCATTCCTTGTTGATTCCTTGGGGAGTGGTGAGCCTGTTTTCCATGTGAGTAGCAGGTTCAAGTTCATTAAAAGGGCTTTCCATAGTGCCATCAAGATTTTGGACAACTGTCCAGATCCTGGTTTCAAATTACACTCCTAAATACAGCCAGGGAGCTTCCTGGAGAAAAGTCTAATTCCAGGGCTAGGAAGGAAAGTGCAAGGATGGGTGAAGATGGAATAGCTAATTAGGTCAGAAAATAAAGAAGTGCTCAAAAAAATGATGAGGTCCTGTCAAAAGGAAAGAAAAGAAAGCTTGAGGAGACTCGCACTGGCCAAATTTAGGACAGTTTGAACACCAGAATACATAATAATATGCATTATGGAATCCATGAATCCATACTTATACTATATAAATAAACACATTTATAAATAAATAAATAAATAGAACAGCAGGGGAAACTCTTGCTTAGAATAGAATGTCAACTAGTAAATGCAGAAAGAATAGCGGAGTAAGAAAATCATCATTTTGCAGCTATCATCATTATTGAATCTGGTAAGCATCATCAATGGATGTTATATTTGTTGGTTAAAAGTTGAACGAGGAGCAGAATATTTACACAGCCCCAAAACTTCTTCCCACAGAGTAACTATTAATTTCTTTTTTTTTTTCTTTTTTTTTTTTGAGACGGAGTCTTGCTCTTTTGCCCAGGCCGGACTGCAGTGGCACTATCTCGGCTCGCTGCAAGCTCCGCCTCCCGGGTTCACGCCATTCTCCTGCCTCAGCCTCCCAAGTAGCTGGGACTACAGGCACCCGCCACCGCGCCCGGCTAATTTTTTTGTATTTTTAGTAGAGACGGGGTTTCACTGTGTTAGCCAGGATGGTCTCGATCTCCTGACCTCATGATCCGCCTGCCTCGGCCTCCCAAAGTGCTGGGATTACAGGTGTGAGCCACTGTGCCCGGCCTATTAATTTCTAAGGGAATTTTACACCAGAGAAACCTGGAGGGCAGCACCTTAACAAAGTGAACACTGCCAGTCATGAGACAAACTTCCCTGACATCATGTGCTTGCTGATGTAAAATACTAAGTAGGACATAAAATACTAAGCAGGTCTAATCACATGGAAACCTGAGTCAAATCCACATTGAAGAGCATTCAACTCATCAAACATGTTAAGGTCAGGAATGACAAAGCAAGTCAGGGAGGGGTCTGGTCCCTCATATCCCCGTGGCTCAGGCTCTGGCTGTGATCAGCTACTGATGAAAAGGTGTGAAAGCATTTGGAAAGGAAAAATATTTGCTTTTTGAGACAACTTTTTCTTAAGTAAATAACACTCAGCAGTTAATGTGTAAAGGGGGAGTGGGTAGCTGGCATGTACAGGAGCCAGCCATTGGTGTGGTCACCACTGGTGTAGTCACACACATTGTCTGGAAGGCAGCCAGCCCTCGGTAGGACTCAATAGGACTACCACACAGGACAGGTTAGGAGCAATGAGCCATGAAAAGATAGGGAATGTATTCAGCTTGTAAAGTACTCTGGAGTCAGATGATGGGGTTCAAATCCCAGCTCTGTGGGCTGAGCAGGCTCCTCAGCTCCCCAAGCCTGCATTTTCTCATCTGGAAAGTGAGAATGACAAGGATGGGCAGATTGAATAAGATTACTGAGTATTTAGAAAGGAGTCTGGCATATAGTATGTGGTCAATAAATATTACTATTTACTATTGTATTATATAGTATTATGTATTATGTAATACAATTACTATTATCATTCATCTTTGTATTCCCATTACCTAACACGGGGCCCGGAAGGCATATGATGTGTCGTTAATAAATGTGTCTTGATGCACTAACGAAGAGAGAAATGCAGGAAACAAGACAGACACTGAAATGTGTAATATGTGAATCACTGTTAAAGATGCAGCTCAGCTCCAGCTACTGTCAAAAACAAGGAAGCGTTATTAGCAGATAAGGAAGCAGGGTCTTTGTGCTGTTCTATCATGAAAGATGATGACTCTGTTAACTTAAAGGATGGCTGGGCTGAAGACAAGCTTGAGACTGTCATTCCATATAAGCACTGAGGAAGGTTTGTGGTTCCCAGTTTAGAAAAGCAAGACATACTCAATTCCCACTTCCATGTGAAAACCAAGGAAACAATGTTTTACTGGTAGGTAGTAATGAGAAAATAAACAAGGAGACCTAAGTTTAAGTAAACACATAATTGCAGATGATAAAAGGTATCTAAACATTGTTCCTGGTCATTGATCTCTAATATTTTCCTTTTACATTTGATCCTAGATTCTAGTCTTTAGCTCTAATGTGGACAAAGAATAGGAAACACTGAGAGAAACTCAAGTCAGTGTTTCGAGAAGGAAGCACAGAGAATGAAGGACCGTGGTTGGCCTCATACTGGGGCACTGGAAGTGAGTGGAATTTGATGAGAGAAATCTGTGAAGATTTTCAAGAAGAGATGAAGAGAGCTGAAAAGAGATGTTTTCATCCCTCCCACCTCATCATGCCACCAACTGGGCTCCTTGCCTTCACTCACACCTTGACTCAGTCTCCCTCCTTTCTTTCTCTCATTCCTAGCCTACTGGTGAAGCTGAAGACTTTCCCACCTGAAACTTCAGTGCTGCCCTCCTTAGTGCCTTTGACTTCCTCTGTGGCTACTACCCCAATCAGCCACACCAGTCCTCAGTTCTGGATCTTCCTCTACCCTTGTCTTCCATCTTCCCTAATAATTGCCCCTGGCCCTCAGAATACAGACGAAACATGAAGTGGAGCGGTGCTAAGTTGGGTTCATTTCATTTTCATGCAATTCATCTCAACCGTGGGACTATAAGCTCTCTGAAGACCAGCACCATGTCCTGATGACTCCTGCATACTGAGCATCTAGCACAGTGCCTGGAACACAGCAGGCTCAATGTGTTCTCTTTGTGCCTTATCGAACCTGGCTTTTGCTTCTGTTTGGCAATGCTTCGATCACCTCTTGTGGATCTCTTCCCAGTACTCCTCCGCAATCTACTCTTTCCCTCACTCTCTCTTCTCTTTTTTATGTCCTTCCTCCCTCTATTCTTCTCTTTTCTTTCTTTCTAAAATGCATTCAAAGAAAAAGTTCATATTGTCCATTTCATATGAACCTGACATATCTCTTCTTTCTTCTTCATGTTATATTTATTCCGTATACCAATTCTAGTTAGTTTTTCCCCCTTTAAAATGTCTTGGATTCTCACCCTTCTTCACGGTGTTCACAGTCATCATAACTGAAATGACTCCCCATATTTTCTTCCTGTCTAGGGTTAGTCTCTTCTCCTTTTACTTCATCCTTTAATATGCCATCAAAATAACTTCTTTTATAGAAGGCTTTTATTATTTCAGTCTCCTATTCGAGAACCTATAGATGTTTTTCTATTTAATTCAACATGTTTAAGCTCTACTACTAGGCTTGAAAGTGGCTCCACAAACCAATTCTTCCAAACAGAACTGTTTATGAAAAAGAAGGAAATGGAATAATGCAAATTGGAAGAAGCAAAATTAACTTAGGAATGTTGTTGCTTTGTTGTTTTAAGACAGGAAATGTGTGTACGTTGAAGACAGAGGGAACTGACAATGCATGTTAAAGCAAGACGCTGAAAAAAATAAAAGTGGTCATTAATGAAGATTTCTCTAAAACAATGTAGGAGGAAAGGAGGGAGTTTAGTTTTGAAATTTCAGTGTTCCCAGTAAAGCAGTAAGCAAGGCCATCTGCCAATAATGAGCTAAGAAGAGATGAGGACTTTAGAAGGGCTGAGGGAGTTGGAATATTTGCTCATTCACTCACTCATTCATTCCACAGACGTACTGGCCACCTACTGTTACATGTGAAGGAACACTCCTAGGTATTTCCCCACTTTTCTCCCATGGCTTCAGCATCTGGCCCAACCACAGAAACACAGACATATCCCCACTCAGTTCTGATCTTGTTTGGCTCATTGTTCTAGTCTGCTGGGATCTTCTTGAATCCCAACTCTGTCATCTGATGGTATCTCTTCCAACTTCATGTCATCCTCTGGGAATCTGATAAGTACAAGTTCTATATTATTACAAACATTGATGAAAATGTGGAGTGGGGTAGTGCTAAGACACACAGAATACCATGTGAAATCTCCCTCCCTATTTACATGGACTCTTTAACAAGCCCCATTTTGGTGACATTCTGTTGCCTAGGCTGTATCTTTCCACCTCTTCCAATAGGGGAACATAAAACGATCTTGTCAAATGCTTTGCAAAAGTCCAAATGCACCATGCCCACTGCATTTCCCTCTTCAAGCTGGCAAATAAATGAATAATGCTGGCAAATGGAAGAATATAATTAGATTGGCAAGACTTGTTTTTAGCACACTGATGCCAAATGGTCATGATTTATCTTTCCAAGTGCTTATAAACAACTCCCTTAACTGACAGCTATATGCACTTACCTAGGACTGACAGCAATCTCACTGCTACACATCACGGAATATTTTTTCTCTTTCTATAAAGCAGAATTATATATATCTGTTTCTAAGCTCTGGCATCTTTATTCCCTTGATTCTGCAGAGATCATCTCCCTTAGTTTAGAGATCACATTTGCAAATTTTCTGTGTCAATTAAAAAAAATCATATCCTTTGATAAAACCCTATAGAGATGCATGAAACACTGGTGAAATTTAGGATGTGTATGACACAGGCTGTGAAGCAGACCAGAGTAGAAGACTCTGGAGACTACGGTCAATGTTAGGTTGCTGTCTCTTTAGTTGGATTTGGTATAGTGCTGCCTGGACACATAAGTGTGGTTTTGAGTAGTCATGACTTGAAGCTCTGTCAACCAGAGATTTCTGAAAAATTAGCTTCTAAATAATTTTTCTTCTCTCCTTCTGCCCATATTGCTCATCCCTGCCATCAGCACCTTCAGAGTACCAAAGTGCAAAATCTACTAACAATTGAGATAGGACTTACCCACTTGCCCAAGCCTGGATAGTCATGTTCCGGATCAAAGAGATGCTGGTGCAACTGGAACTCTCGACTGAACTCTGCAGTGTCAGGGGTGTTTTCTAGACATCCATCATCTGCTGCAAACAGCCAAAGGTTTTTGAGGAACGGCCAAGACATTCATCATTATTCTAAGAGTTAATTTATCAAAAACAACTAGGCAGCCAAAGGTCAGAATCTGTTCACATCAGTAGTAACTTAGAACACTAGCAGCCACCTTCCCTCTAGGATCCAGTTAGATAGGATTACTCATCTCAAACTCCCACTCCTGTGCAGAGACTCACTGGCTGTTCACCAAACCCACTTCCCTTTCCTCCTTAGCACCCAGCTAGACTAATTTCCCAGCCTTGCTTTGCAATCACGTGGAGTCATTTGCCTGAGTGGAGGCCAACAGAATGTGGGCACAAGTAATGTATTCCATTCCCAGGCCTGGAATTGAAATACATCACCTAAAAGCATAAAAACCTCTCATACCATGCTCCACTTCTCCTCATTCCCCACCCCCATCTCCTGGTCAGCTTGTTACATGTTGCCAGGGCAACTGTGGGGGTCAAGTGTAAAGATGGCAGTCTGGGGTGCCGAACCATCCACCGCACTACAGCCTCACGCGCCTCTGGCAGGACTTCACACGGGTGAAAAATAAACTTCTATTGCGTTGAGCCATACAATGTTTTTATTTGTTACAAGAGCAAGTGTTTCCTTAGGTAACATACTTCTGTTGCACATGACCCACTCTGTTTTCTCCTGAGCAAGCAGTTTAGAAACTACTTTGGCTTCTTGGAAAAAGTACATTACACAACAACAACAATCTCCACACAGCACTTGATGTTGTGTTTTATTGTGATAACAGCTTAAGCTTTGGAGTCAGACAAGAGCAGAGCTCAAGGATCAAATCCCAGCTCCTAAGATATAGATAGGCTTAGTTCCTTTGGAAAGTTAACTTGGTCTCTCCAAGTTTGTTCATGTATGTGTGAGATGCAAATAATCAAATACTTACCTACGGGATTGCTGTGAGGAATAGAGATGATTACATTTAGAACACCCGGCACATAATAGGTTTGCAATATGTTTTAGTTCCCTTCCCATTATCTCCCTTTGACTGACAGTTTATACTATGACTGCCCTTTGAAATCAAGCAAGTTTTCCATTGAAACCAAAGAAAGAAGGCTATCTCTCTCAGATGCTGCTTTTATGTAAATTCTATTATTACTAGGCATGATGCTCTAAAAATGAGTCATTTTTCCCATGTCTAATATATTTTAGACAACAGCAATAAAAAGGGGGACAGAGGAGGGATTGTGAATTTTGTGCAGGGTTAGGGGGAAGAAGGAGGGTCTCATTTGAAAGACATAATGAGACATCAAAGTCAATGCTGAAAGGGGGGCCATTTACAATTAGCCAGGTTGTCTAGTTCTTGACACTGCTCTTAAGCTTTCAGTACACAGTCTCTCAGCTCTTAGCAGTATACAGCTAGTGTGGAAGTCATCAGCATTCTGAACAAATCCCTAATGCGGCTCTCCACTTTTCAGTGAGCTATTTATCTAACTTACACAATATATAGCAATTAACATGTAGGAAAATATACCAATTCAAGAGAGTTCAGGCAATCTGCATATGGCACCTTTATAACCTTTCATAATTGTTTCTGGTGTACCTCTGAGTGGGCCCTGACTGAGATGCAGATAAAGCCTGCTCTGGGAACCGAAGGTGTCTCCGGGCTTAAAAATGTGCCCTAGAATTCACATCCTATCTCTGAGGCTGAGATGGACTCTTTGAGCTCTGCTGCTCTATCCAGGGTGAGTGGGCCATGATTCAGAGGACAGCATGGCATGAAAGGAGAAATCAAGGTTTTATTCTTGGATTGCTCAACTGTGCTGTGTTGTGTCATAATTCAAGCAATTCCTCACAAATAATGGCTAAATTTAGCAAGCGATTTCATTCTTGGAATGCAGATTGTGGCAGAACAAAGAATGAGGGAATATGTTAGTTTCATGGAAGAACAGCAAAGGAAATGGCAGACAACCTGTGACAAGAAAGTGTCTGGATTTGGGATTTTGTCCAATTCTACCAGGCCAGCTTGATTGCTGTCCTCTCAGAGCTCCTAAGTGCACAGACTAGAGCTTGATTCCACAGGTCTGTATGATTTTGTGTTTTTATTGTTTTTGTTTTCAGACAAGCTAGAACTACACTGTATGCTCTTTGGAGGCATTGCCTATGTCTTCCTTCCATAGGTGAAGACATTAAGGCTCAAGAAAGTGAAAGTGGCATACTACAGTCAACACTAGAGGTCAGATCTCTTGGCTCAAACTCTGGACCTCTTTCCATTCTCCTATAATATTCTCTAAGTTCAGTGTGCACTAGAACCATGAGGAGGACTGGTTGCAACAAATTCCTGGGTCCCACCCCCAGAATCTTCTGATTCAATAGGTTGAATCAGGGTAGGGACTGAGAAGTTGCATTTTTAGCAAGTTTTCAGGTGCTGCTGCTGCTGGTGGTCCTGGAATCACACTTTAAGAACCACTGCACTGTACCACATCCAATGGACTTAACAATGGAGACTGTCGCTCTCTAAACTCTGAACTAGTCTTTCTTCCTACCCATCCAAAACCCTACAAACAAGTAGAAGGTGGCTGAAATGATTAGAGCCAGGCAGGGATTCAGGTTTTCCTGCCTTCCTGGCCCAGCAGCCACACATTGGCTTGGTCACATCCAACTACTTTGGTTGTTCTGCCTCAAGATGGAAGCTTTGTGCCCCACGGAAAACAGAGGCCTCATCCTAAATGAAAGGAGGAGCATATTTTCTAAGACAGTCTCTTTCAGAGACAGCCTGCATTGTGTTTAAGAAAAGCTGATGTCAGACTAGTTATGGGTATCATAAGAAAAAAAAGTCTCGGTGTGGTAGCTCACACCCATAATCCCAGCACCTTGGAAGGCCAAGGTGGGAGGATCGTTTGAGCTCTGAAGTTTGAGTTTAGCCTGGGCAACATAATGAGACCCCACCTCTACAAAAAATTTAAAAATTAGCTGGGCATGGTGGCACACACCTGTTGTCCCAGCTACTTGGAAGGCTGAGGCACAGAATTACTATAATTGTGCCACTACACTCCCACCTGGGCAACAAAGTAAGACCCTATCTCAAAAAAAAAAAAAAGAAAAAGAAAAAGAAAAAAAGTTGAGTAGTCAATGTTATCACAATTTTCAGAGCAAGGCAGTATGTCCTGGTGGTTGAGTACACAGTCCTTAATCAGGTAGACTTGGGTTTGAGTCTTGGTTCAGCTACTTGTTACCTGGATAACCTTATGCAAGCTACTCTCTAAGCTTCTGTTTTCTTAATATAAAGTAGAAATAATATTAGATTGGTGCAAAAGTATTGCAGTTTTTCCTATTGAAAGCAATAGTAAAAAGTGCAATTACTTTTGCACCAACCTGATAAATACCAACTATTATTATTATTAGGCTTGCAGGAAAAGACTACTCTGGTGCTAGAAGCTAACACAAGCCCAAGGTAAGAGGTGCATTATTTACTAGGGGCAGCAAAGCTAATTATAATCAGGATGACATTTAAAGAGTCCTTACTCTGTGCTAGGTGCTGTGCTAAAATGCTTTACATGGATAATTTTATTTAATTCCCACAATGACCTCCATTTTGCAAATAAGGAAATTGAGGTACGAAGTGGTTAATTAACTTGTTTAAGGTCACACAGGTTGACCTGGAGTTTGAACTCAGGTAGTCAGAGTCTAGAGCCACTACTCTTAACCACCAAGGTCAGCTGCTCAAAGCCGGATGTAAGTGAAGCCCACTCACCATTCTCTATGGCATTAGTGGGTAGGAAAGTGGGTGGGATGCATGAACAACATGGAAAATTTCAACCTTCTTCCTTAACCAGCTTCTTCCTGATCCTCTTCTCTCCCATGCCACCTCCTGGCCCCCAAATAAACAGGATTTTAGGATAGATGCTAACTCGGTGTTGATGCATGACACTGTTAGAATGTTGACTGTCATGATCAACGAGGAGAACAAACAGGCATGGATAATCCACAAACTAACTAGTTCCAAAGACATTAAAACTCAGCAGAAGTTGTATCATGGAAAAGGAAAAAAAAGTGTTTCCCCTTTCATTAAAAGAGTAGCAAGTGCAGGCCGGGCGCAGTGGCTCACGACTGTAATCCCAGCACTTTGGGAGGCCGAGGAGGGTGCATCATGAGGTCAGGAGATTGAGACCATCCTGGCTAACACGCTGAATCCCCGTCTCTACTAAAAATACAAAAAAAAATTAGCCAGGAGTGGTGGCAGGCGCCTGTAGTCCCAGCTACTCGGGAGGCTGAGGCAGGAGAATGGCATGAACCTGGGAGGCGGAGCGTGCAGTGCACCAAGATCACACCACTGCACTCCAGCCTGGGTGACACAGCGAGACTTTGTCTCAAAAAAAAAAAAAAAAAGAGTAGCAAGTGCAGAAAAGTGCATCAATTCCCAAAGAAGGGGAGACACAGAAAGAAAGTAAAGCCTTGGCAAGGGAAAATCCTATGTGGGTGTGTCTGAACACAGAGCTCATATAAAAATTCTAGAATAAATTTCCCCTTCCCATCTACTTACAAATACACATGGGCTCATCAGAATGGAAATAACAATTTCTGGGAATATTTGTAGCTGATGTTAGAATTTCTGATTTCCTTCCAAAGCCCCAACTTTTCATGGGAACCCAAAGGCATATCTGTTACCTGTTTTTCCAACAGGACAGGGATTTGGAGGGTCTGGGTACCCCTGATCCTCACTAAAGTCCTTAGGAATGTTGTCTCCAGTCAACTCTGCCACGATGTTGGGGATGTTGCCAAAAGGACCCAAATGCTGAAGTCCTTCATGAGCTCCACCTGCGAGGGAATCAGAAGTAGTTCATTGCAGTGCAATTCAATTAATTTCAACCAATATTTATTCAGGCATATCACACAGGAAAAGCCCTGTGCCTTCTGCTGTGGGGAGAGAAAAATAAATGAAATGGTTCTTGCCCTCTAGGGGTTTAGAAATTTAGTTGCAGAAACAGACACATACTGTACACATATTATTTCCATACAAGGCAAATTGTATATTATCCTGTAAAAGAAATGTTAATACAGCATCACAAGAGCATGGGAAAGGGGCCAGGCCTGGTGGCTCATGCCTGTCATTGCAGCACTTTGCGAAGCCGAGGTAGGCGAATCACCTGAGGTCTAAGTGCAAGACCAGCCTGGCCAACATAATGAAACCCCGGCTCTACTAAAAAACAAAAATACAAAAACTAGCCAGGCATGGTGGCAGGTGCCTGTAATCCCAGCTACTCAAGAGGCTGAGGCAGGAGAATCACTTGAACCCGAGAAGTGGAGGTTGCAGTGAGCCAAGATCATGCCACTGCACTCCAGCCTGAGCGACAGAGCAAAACTCTGTCTCAAAAAAAGAAAAAAAAAAGAGCATGGGAAAGGGAGAGTTCCATTTGGCTGATGGGATGGGAGGGCTTCTTGGAAAAGCTGGAAACTAAGTGGCATCAACACAGATGGGTAGGGCTCTGGAAGCTGGGCGTGGAGCTTGGGCAGGACTTGGGTCAAGAAAGGAAGGCAATTGCCATCCAGAAATACAGGCTGAAAGCACATTATGAAAAAAGATAAGGTCACTGTTATCCTGCTATTTTAGCTCAACCACTTAAAATTTGGTGTACTGACTCCAATTGTTGCTACGTATCTTTTTATACTAAGTATATATTCATTTCTATTTAATATTGAAGCACAAGCATCTTTCCATTTGGCTGCATGGTCTCTATTCCTGTAATTATAAATGGCTATGTAGTTTTTAGTCCAATGGCTGTACTACAACATATTAACCAATCCCCTATTGTGAGACATTTAGTGTTTCCCAATTCATTTTAGACATTTAATGTTTTCCATATTTTGGATTAATTTTCCTCAGGATAGATTCCCAGAAGTCAAATTACTAGGTCAAAGGCTATAAAACATTTTAATGACTCTTGATATTGTATTGCCAAACTGTTTTCCAAAAACGAGGTACCAATTTATAAGCCATCAGCAGCAAAATATGAAATACAACTTTTGCAACATTCTCACAAGCATTGGGTTTTATGAAAATCAATTTTTAGATTTTCTTTGCTAATTCAAATTTTTTAAAATTACTGTTTTATTTTGAATGTCTTTGATTACCAGCTGGGTCAAATATCTTCCCATATATTTACTAATTTTAATTTCTTTTATGTGAGCTGTTTGTTTATGCTCTTGGAATTTCAGTGTTTTTCTTATCAATTTGTATGAACATTTTACATAATAAAGATGCAAGGCCTTTGGCTGTCGCATTTTCTGAAAATATTTTCCCATGTTGTCTGAGTTTGAATTCTGGTTACTATTATAGTATTTTGCTAACATACGTTTTTAATATTTATGTAGTCAGATTTGTCATTTTTATTCCCCTTGTGATTTCTTCTTATCCTTCTAAATGCACAAAATCGTTGCCCCTTCAGAAGTACTACTGACATTTGGATCATTCTTTTAATTTTCTATTTGTAAGTTAACTCTTTAATCCATGTTATTTATTTTAGTGTATGTCAAACAGTTAATCAATTATCCCACCAGCATTTGCTAAATAATTCTGTCCTTTCCTACTTGTTTCATGTCTCTACCAAATACTTAAGTGTCTCATACATACGAAAACCTATTCTGAGCACCAAAACACAGCAGTGAATAAGAACAACTTCTACTCCATAACTTGTTTTACTAAGTTACCAAGTTAACATACCAATGTATGTTAATTTCTGGACTTTCTTTCCTTGTAGCCTTAACATTCTATAAGGCTCATGAAGCTTCCTTTTCCAGGACCACAGCAGATCATTTCTTAGAAGGATTTCATACTTACCAACTCCATGAGGACAGAGGAGCCCCACACTCACAGTTCCCCTAAGGGACAATCATGGTGTACGCAGACCAATACAGGAAAGGCTGGTTTACAATCAAAAGGTGCCTGGTGTGCATGACATTTGAGCAAAACCAGGCAAAAACAACACCATGCTTCCATCTTCTCATGAAGGAGGATCCTGCCACAGGCTGGATTAGTTAAGTCTAGTTGAATGAGGCTCCCTTGTCCCTGGATGAACACTAGCACTTGCCTTTGTTTGTTTTGGCTGAGCCAGCTCTTCGTTGGATTCACACTTTTTTCCCCCATTGGAAATGTTAATATATTCAGTAGAATCATGACTAGATCTCAGTGTCCTGGGGATCATATTTTCTCTCTGAAGTGACATTGCATCACTCTGGCTTTGTGTGCTGTGTTGATTAAAGTTTAACCTTAAAAGGACAATCTTACCTCTGCTGATTCCTCTAGCCCCCGCATTCAGGCAACATCGATTGGTTGTTCGCTTGTTTTGTTTACATTTATATTATATTTCATTGCTTTGTAATGAGAATGATGAGAAGTATCTAGCCCAGATCTAGGTCACTGCTTTGTAATGAGAGAAACTGTAAAATATCTGCATTTAAAAAAAATGCTATTTCTTTTGTAAACTACCATATTATTTTTGTAAAATTTCCATGTGAATATGTAATATAAGGTATTTTATATAACCCATAAACATCTAAATATAGCCAATTTATCAACATTTATAATTATATTCTTTTTATATCCATATTCATATTTTATCTCTAGTCTATCATAATCTGATGGCTATATGTTAAAATCTACTACTAACAATAAGTGACTGTCATTCTCTTATTTCTTACTGTTTTTATCATTTTGATGCTGTACTAGTTAGCATATCCAAGGGTATAAATGTTTCATTTTAATTGTGTTGGCAATTGGCTGCTAAATATAAATTGATAAATCAGATGTTGATTTATAGTTCTATTAGCTTGCCACTCTCACTCTGTTGATTTGTGTTTAATTGGTAAATCTTTGATTATCCTTTTATTTTTAACCTTTCTGTATCTTTCTGATGATTCATCCAGCTCATTTGTGATAGCTACCTTCAGAGCTACTGTAGGGATACCTATGATTCCACATTAACCCAATAGATGCAAAGGTTAGACATATCAGTACACTTGGTATTGATATATTTGAAGCTTTATATAATGTTGGCACTATAGACACCACTGTGCTTGCTATAGGGCAGGCTCTCTGGTGTGTCAGTACATGTCTCAACTTTTGAAAGCACCCTAGCATTAAGTGCCAGGAATTATCCAACTTGGCTCAAGGCAGAATGCGTGTCTTAATGCTCCATTAGTAATTAATGAAGGAAGCAAACAGTTTCTCTTATGGAAGGCCTGCCAAAGCTCCGTTTACCTCTGTGCACCAGTGCCATTAAAATGAATGCAGCACTTGTTAGGAAGCAACAGATGTTTAGCACTAAGCAGACAGATTAGAACACAGACTCTTTTTAAACTGCATTTAATGATGTCAGATCAAGAAACACTCACTGAGGTAGGAACTGAGGGAGATATGCAGAAGTAAAAAATGCTGTCCTTTGCACTCCAGGAGCTAGAATTTTATAGACAATTAAACAGGTATAGAAAATATAATAATTTTAATATTATACAGTTGCAAAGGGCCAAATGCAGTTATCTGGTTCATTATAATATTTAGGTTATATTGATCTATTGTACCTGAAGCCAAGTCAAACAAAATAATATGATGCTATGGATGCCATTTGGTCTATTCATCCCAGCCTCCTTAACTATCTTACTGCACTAACCAACAACAAATAATCTAAAAATATGCATTGAGCACATAATATATAATCAAAACCTGGGCTAGGTACTAGAGGGTCAGTGATGAACCAGATAAATGTAGGCTCTGCTCTCATAGTTCATAGAGAAACAAAAAGAAACAAATGTAATACAGCCAGTTGTAATGCACTGATAATGTAACCAGGATACGGCAGTGTGTCACAGTTGTGTAGAGGAGAAGTATCTAGCCCAGATCTAGGCCATGGAAGACTCCCTGTAGCAACATACTGTGTAGCAATAATTACGTTAGGTGCTATAGACGACATAAATGTGAAAGACATAGTTCCTGTTCTCTAGTTCGTTCTTCATTCTAGTTGGTTACCCATGACTAACACAATAAGCCAGTAGTACATAATAAGATATATTCCCAACATAATGTATTGTAGTATAGACAATAGATGGTGGTATAGAGAACAGACCATTGTACAAAGCTAGGTTGGAGAGAAATTAAGAAGTTCTTCTCTAAGAGTGTTGCTGAAACTCAGGAGTGAAGTGACAAGGATTGGAATTAGGGTGGCTGCAACATGAGTTAAATAAGATTTCTAGCAGTGCACAGGAGAGAGATGAGTCAAAAGCTTGTGAGGTTTCAAAATCTGATTTGAGAAAAGAATACCATTAATAAAGATAGGATCTTTCACTTACAGCTTTGAAATTATTTCAGGCAATTAATTAATCCTGTCCTGTGATGATGCTTTATTTATGTTTCCACCACAGCCATGGCACTCTAAAAATGTCTCTAGAATAAATGGAAAATATTTAATTCTTGCCAAATGAGTTTTAAGCCCAGTTGCGTTTATATAAACTTTGCTTTATATAATAAAATTGGTACCATGCAGCTGTTTATTTCTAAGCTCTAGATATCAAATCATTGGTAGACTTTCTTTGTATTGCCATGGCAATAAAGTTGCACTCAGATGTAATTGTCAAGGGAATGAGAAAGAAGGACAGTTGGTCTTATTTGAGTCAGAACCCTTAAATCTCTTTCTTGGCCTGTGCTGGAACCCTCCATAAAAATCTGCCAATCTTTTGACCGCATCCTGCTCTTCTCTGCATTCTCACCCTCTGCTATGTGCCTCCAATTCTCCCTTCTGTACGTATCCCTTTGAGGTTGGCAATTCAGCTGGGAAGTTGACCTGGTTGGTTTGAGTCTCTCCCTGGCCTTGGAGACCTGATCAACCTCAGCTCCAAGTTTTGCCACTCATGGTCTTGTTCGGTGTTAACAAAGCCCCCAACAGCACTCCCAAGGACAACCTCTAACAACTCCAATGATCGCTTGTCCAGAAGAGGGCACTAACTTTTCTGGTTACTTAAAAACTCCCTTGGGTTTCAAATCCATTTTCCTGTCTCTATGATTTTGAAGATCAGTTGTTAGTACCTAGTAAACAGAA
Organism: Homo sapiens; assembly: GCF_000001405.40. Taxonomy (NCBI): domain Eukaryota; kingdom Metazoa; phylum Chordata; class Mammalia; order Primates; family Hominidae; genus Homo; species Homo sapiens. The sequence goes on along the minus strand of NW_012132920.1, from coordinate 2,192,906 downwards.
ATATGAAAATTAAATACCTTCTGACCCCCAAAGTTTTACTTGGCTCTGAACAGCCATGGCCTTTTTGTTGCACTGGTAGGGTTTTTTTCATTGTTTAATTTTAGAGTAAATCTCTGTTATCATATTTTATCTTGATATAATTTGACTCTCTAAAATGTGCATAAAAAACAAAATCCGAATTAACAGAGGTTTCCGATTATAGTACCATCTCACTTATCTCTTTAGAGAGAACGTGCTGTTTCATGTAGTATTCAGATCACTGAAGCATCGGTTTAAGATCAAGATTTATTTAACCATTTTAAAGGAGAATTTTCCACTATGAACATTAGGTAAATACTTTAAACAGCAGGAGAATATGACTTTGCCTGTTCTTGATAATTTGGGACTATTACTGGGAATATCAATGACTATACAGTGTTGTAACAGTGTATTCTCAGAGTATTAAAGGGCATTCGGATATAAAACTATATTAAATGGGCCGGGTGCGGTGGCTCACACCTATAATGCCAGCACTTTGGGAGGCAGAGGCGGGTGGATCACAAGGTTAGGAGTTCAAGACCAGCCTGGCCAAGATGGTGAAACCCCATTTCTACTAAAAATACAATTACAGGCAGGCGCCTGTAATCCCAACTACTCAGGAGGCTGAGGCAGGAGAATCACTTGAACTTGGGGAGTAGAGGTTGCAGTGAACCGAGATCATGCCACTGCACTCCAGCCTGGGCGGCAAAGTGAGACTCCGTCTCAAAACAAACAAACAAACAAACCTATATTAAATGGTCCCAGATGCAATAGTTTTTAATGTTCTTTGTCACCTCACTCCTTCTAAGTTATTAATTCTAGTCATCCCAAATCCTTTCCATAATGAAATACAATAAATTGAGAGTGCGCCTAGGCCCTGCAAGTCTCTTCTAATTTTACCCTCCCCCGCACAACACACACACACACACACACACACACACACACACACACACACACACACGGGGATCTTATCCAAATGTGGATTCTGATTCAAGGTGAAGGGTGGGGCCTGAGATTCTGCATTCCTCACAAGCTCCCAGATAGTGCAGATGCTGCTGGCCCATGAGCCACATTTTCAGTAATAAGGGGCTAGAAAATGAGAGAGCCAGGCTTATTAAAATTATATATAAAATGAGATAAAATTAGCTCCGAGAGAGTGCCTAGGTGATCTTGCTTTATGGAATTTGTGACATCGGTGTGGCTGCTAAGAACCTTCTTAAAAGTCTGCAGTTTCAGATAAAGGAGCTGTCACTGCCGTTGTAGTCCTTTTACTTAAAGTTTTACTCTACAGAGGCACTTGCTCACACTTTGCAAGGAAAGGATCCTGCTGCCCCATTTTTTACTTACGCTAGTTCTGTGGGAATTAGAGGTAAACACCTCCCTTGAACGTGAGTTCTCATAGTATAAGCGATGTCCGTTGGAGAGCCTGATGATGTCCCACCACGATGCAACGGCTCTCCTGGCTGGGGCTAGTGGAAGCAGTTTTGATGGAAGTTAAGGTTGGTCAGAAATTAAGAACATAAATGGGACCTGCGTTACTTCGTCACTCTGTCTCTTTTTTTTTTTTTTTTTTTTTGTGATGTTATGGTTTCAACAGTTTCAAAGTGCTTTCATCCTTATTAAAAACGTCCTAGTGAGGTCAGTAGGACAAGAATCACTATTCATCATTCTAAGTGAGAAAGTGAGACCTGGGGAAAGGTTTCTTGCCTAAAGCCACTCAGCAAGTTGGTGCTATTTTGGATTCCAGCCCTGTGTTCACTCTACAGTGGCACTGAGAGAGCCCCCACGAGGCCTTCTGCGTCCATTCATACCCTTTCCAGTGCGTTTCCGTCTTCCAAAGATGAGCTGGAGCTCCACAGCCACAGTTAGTAGAATGACCTGTCGGGGTACCTGGGGTCTCTCATAGTTTCCAGGTCACTCAGGGGATCTCCGGTGTCAGTGACTACTGCAGAGCCAGGCCCCGGCAAAATGGCTCTGGGATGGGACGCCACCTGTGGGCCTCGCCACCATGGTTCCTTCGCACCTGAGTGCCCACCTCACGCTGGAGGTTTGGAACATCCGGACAACCCCTGCCCTCCAGACTCTGCCACACAACTTGGGAACACCCTGACAAGCCCGCAGCCAGCATCGTCCCATTCGCACCCCTCACGCTGCCTGCAGCCCTGGGGATTCATGCAATTGGGCACTGGCGCTGGGCAATAAAGAATTGTGGTGGGGCAGCCTGGTGCCAGGGAGCCAGTCGCCCACCTCGTAAAAAGGGAGTTCTGTGAGGAGCGTCTGGCAGGGAGCGGGCACAGGCCCCTGAATACCAGCCATTCAGCTGAAGGGAACGGGTCCAGCAGTTTTCACTTATGTTACCACAAACAGCAGATGCTAAAAATACACTGCGGTCTCGATACATCATTCAGAAAGCGACGGACCAGTTTTCCTTTTGTCAGCGGTCTGGGAGCCTGAAGCAGTCGGATGGGGCATTCCAGACACCGCCTGGCCTCCTTTGGTTTCCCCTCAGACTCTGACAGAGCTGAAGGTGCCAGCGCGAGAGCGCCCGAGGAGACCAGGAGAGAAGGTGGAGAGGCGGCAAGGCTCCCCAGGCTAAGGGAAGGCAAAGCGGAGTGGGGCGAGGAAGGGGCGGGGTGGCTCCTTCTGGAGGCCACAGAACAGCCTGGGACTCCCTGAGGCGACACCGGCCGCAGGCACCAGGCACTGGGGGCTAAGAGAAACCCCGAGACCCAGAAATCTCCTTCCTAAGGTCCAACTTGCCCCAAAAGTTGTTTTTTCTTTTTTTTTTTTCACTACTTGAGGTAAACACATACACAATTTTACAAAAAGCGCCATCACTTGTCCACAATCAGAGGACTCATTCGTCAGCTTCTGTACAATCTGCGCTTGGTTTCTCCTTCTCAGTAAGCACTCAGGCAGTTCCACCACACGCTATTGTCTCCACAGGAAAGAAGAAGACAGAGGCAAAGAGAAAGAGCAGGAGAGGGAGAAACAGATTGGCCCCTAGGAATGGGGAAAGGAGGCTGAAAGAAATGGCCAACATGAGGGTGGAACTTCATATTTTAGATGTCTGACTCCCAGTTTCTGCTTCCTCCATCCCAAGTAACTGAAGTGAGATAAAAGAAAAGAACAGAGTCATTTTCACACATCCTTTCTCAAAATTCACTCTTATTTATAAGACCTTTTGGCCTTGACTCCTGGTGAGAAATGAGGGTCCCAACATTCAAACCTATTTATGAAAAGCAAATATTTTCATTTACTGAGGACCCACAGAAAGAGAGCACTTTTTATACAAAGAGGCTTTTATAGCTTCCTGTTGTTAGGGCCCTGAGTTCAAGTCCACATTCTGCCACACACTGTGGGATTCTCATAACCTCCCAATCTCACTGGACCCCAATTCCTCCCCTTTTAACCCGGGGATAACATGCTTGTGGGAGGATACAAATCGGATACTGTATGTAAAATGCTTACCTCAGTACCTGGTACGTAATAAGCACTCCATGAACGTTAGCTGCTTTTCCTATCTAGTCAACATTTCCTAACAGCACAATTAACAGAGCCGAAATTAATGATCCTGCATATTTTTCATTGTGGTGATCATGGTCCTGTGTTTGAGGTATTGAGCAACAGGGCTCAGGACATTTGAGCTTTTTACTAACATCAGTGCCTCCTCATCAATTCAAAACTAAATAAAGTCATGCTTTGCCTAACAAAGTTACAAATCCAGGCAGCATAATCCCTTCTCTCAAGGAGCTTGCTCTCCAATAATAGGGGACAAAATATGTCCACATAAACACACATCTGATGTTTGTGCCTGGTGGAAGAGATCATGAGCACTAGCGGAGAAGAGAAATTTGTCTCCCATAATGGGAAAATGAACACACAATAGTTTATACTTAGAGATGGATATTATCACCTCAGCTCTCCTCCCCAGTAACAGAATTTAGTTTAAGCTGTTTAGAATGGTGAGGGTTTATGTTGCAATATCCACATTCTCTAAACTCACATGACAAGTGACCCCCAAAGCACACAGCATTTGGTAATTGAGGAAAACAAAGGAATGATTCTATCTGTGCTGAATTGGCTAATTCATTGACTTGCCTCAGGGCAGAGGGCTGGCCCTGGCAGTTTGCTAGAGTGATCCTTCTGCTCTGAATTCGAGCCTGGTCCCTCACAGGGACTGCCCCACATAGCCGGCAAGGGCAGACACCCTGGCTGGCACTATCCTGTCCTTGTAGGAGAGATCTAAATTGGGTTGAGCCTGTTGGCAGATAAGCAAAATGAAACCCATTCGGATATTTTGTCTTGAAAGGCATTTGTTTTCATTCCTTCTCTTTCTTCTTCTGCTTTTCCCCCTCATACTAGGATCTAAAAAACTCAGGCTCCTTGGGGACCAAAGCCAACATTATCATCATCTACTCAGAGGCACGCAAACAGTGAAGGCAGAGACGCAAATTCTGAGTGCACTGCATTTGTAGCTTTCACATCTACATGTGGTCCCAATTTAGGATCACAAGCAGAGTTGTTTATTTTAGAAAAGCTTTTTAGTTAACTTTTAAGGTATTTTGCTTAAGCATTGCTTGCTTTTCAAAAGGAGAAAACGTGTATTTTTTTTTTTTTCTGAAGCGGTGTTTGTTTTGGCTGTTTACTCATTTGCAAAAGTTCAAATTTTATCCTATGAATTTAACTAATTTTTCTGTAGTCACCACAAACCCCACCCCCTCTAACACATACACACAAAACCCCAAAATAAAATAATCTGGAAGTGAAGCATTTTTAGGAGAGGTGTGAATTTAGCAGGTTTTGAAAAAGCCGTTTCAAATAGGTAATTTGCAATAGCACTTTTAGCTCCTTCATGTAACTTTTATTTGCCGTCTGAAATGAAGTCTCAACTTGGCAATTTGTATGAAGGCTAAGCATGTCTTTATACTAAGGTTAAGGCTCATGTTTGTCCTTTAAAAACTTTATTTTATAATTCTTGCTGAAATTATATGGCTTAGCTGAGGGTCAGAGTGGAGCTTAAGTTGAGGTATCAGTTATTATTGAAAAAATAACGGGATATAGAACTGTGGTGGTGGTGGTTGGGATTCGGTGAGGATATGGACACAAAACTGTGAAAAAGTAAAAATATGGACTTGGGCTCTCTAGCATCTGGTTCCATATACAGGCCTACCGCCTCCAATTATCTAAAGCTCCCACTTCATCTTCCTTTCTGAAACTACACTTACTTATGACATCATTTGTCCAGAACCTGAGCCCCACCTCTCTGTTCTCAATGACATAGCAGGTCCTATGTATCATTCCTTTGGGTAAGCTTCTCTACTAACATGATAATGAGTGCTAATTAACATGTAGTACTCTGCTCCTGTAGGATTTGCAACTTAGAGGATTTCTGGGATAATTCTCTTAAAGTAGTGACTTCACCAACAGGAATTCCAGGCCCCCTGGTGTGCCAGCTCAAGGGATAAGCAGAGTATGTCGGGTTCCCAGGTAAGGAAAAGGGGCAATGGCAATGACAATCCTGCAGGCAGAAATAAAGACATTAGGGGCCAAACCAGAGCCAGGTAAATGCATAGGAAGTTTATAATTAGTGACCCAGCATCCAAGGAGATAGCTTCCTACACTTAAGAAACGAGTAAAGGAGATCTGCAGGAGCTTAGGGAAGAGAGAAGCAATGAATGGCTGAGCCAACAGATGACATTAACACCAAGACACCACCGTGAGAGTGGAGGTGACCCTCCGCCCCAGACCCAAAGCTCTCTGATGGTTTCTGTTGAGGGTCACCTTCCAGTCAGCCTGGGCTTCACAGAGGAAGCAGGTCACTGGGGACTATGGTTGAGGAGGTGTGGATAAGGGTTAGCAGGAACTGTGTTGGACCCATTCTGGATGGGATGAGGTGGGAGTGGCAGGGCCTGGCAGCGCTGTGCCCATTCAGAGCCCCTTCCACCAGCTGACCTGGTTCCGCACTGGCCAGGGGAGTGGTCCTAGCACAGATTTTGGGTACACGGCTTGGGAATGTAATTATTCCATCATGTCACTTCCACCCATATGTCTGTAGACTAAAACGAGGAGACTCCATCTGAGTCTGACAAGGCCTTTTGGGCCACGACAAGGAACGTGATTCTCACTTGGCCTTACAAATTCGTACCTGAATTAATTACCATTCCTCTACTTCTTTTTCACTATCCTAAGCTGCTGTAAATCCATAAGTGTTCTTTATAAATGGCTAGAATAAACATTTGTTTTAGACAGTAATCTCATAGAAAATTCTTTTCTGTTTCTGAGTTCCCAGCAGCTACTACTATTTTTTGGCAGCTGGTGGTGGGGTGAGGGTTAATTCTAGCCTCGAGAGGAGAAGGCACGTGGTGTGTACGTTGGGGAGGGGCCCAGACTAAATCCTCTACAACCCTTTGGTAATGCTTTCCTGGCCTGTGGTTTCCCATCTCATACAAATATTCCCAATTTCTCTCTTTTATATCCATGTAACCTCTGCCTGGCAATAGGTATTAAGAATAAAGTGGGTCCGGTGGCTCATGCCTATAATCCCAGAAGTTTGGGAGGCCGAAGCGGGTGGATCACTTGAGGTCAGGAGTTTGAGACCAGCCTGGCCAACATGGTGAAACCCCATCTGTAATAAAAATACAAAAAAGTTATCCAGGCATGCTGGTGTGTGCCTGTAGTCCCAGTTACTCGAAAGGCTGAGGCAGGAGAATCACTTGCACCCAGGAGGCGGAGGCTGCAGTGAGCCGAGACTGTGCCACTGCACTCCAGCCTGGGCGACACAGTGAGACTCTGTCTCAAAAAAAAAAAAAAGAATAAAACTACAACAAACCAAACAAAACAGTATTCACTAGTTATTATCAACTTTGTGCCAGACCTGGAGCCAGAACTCAATGTTATGTTAAAAGAGATAGACTCAAAGGCGGCCACAAAGCTGTGTGGACAGTGATGAGCAATTCGTGCCTTAAAGTCCAAAGGAGGTGCCTCCGGCAATACGCTCAGACAGCTGCAGCACTACACACAGACACTGGAAATACACCTCACAGAATTCTTCTGATTCTTAAAAATGGCAAGTCTCTTACCCACACATGGTAAAACGGGTGAAGAAAGCACACATAACTCAAATTCATAAAAACACCAAACTTATCTTTAAAAATGGGCTTCAACCTTCCCATCCACCCACTTCCAACCAAATTTTTAACTAGAACTATTGATGAAAAATAATGTTGGCCTGAGTCAGTTCTAGTCCCCTTTATATATTATTTTAAAATAGTATATAGCAGTGCTGTTCTATAGAAATAGAATATGAACTACATTTGTAATTTTAAATTGTCTAGTCTTCTCACTTCAAAAAGTAAAAAGAAATAGTGAAATTAAATTTAATAATTTTTAATCCCAATATATCCAAATTATCATTTCAACATGTAATTGATATAAAGAATTGCCAAAGAGACTTTTTATATTCTTTTTTGCATACTGTCTTCCAAATAGGGTGTGTAGTTTATACTTAGAGTACATCACAACTCCAGCCAGCCATATTTCAGGTGTTCAGTAGCCTCTTGGGCGTGGTGAATACCAAATCGGTCAGAGCAGGTGTATAGAGGAGGCTAGACATGGCGATCAAAAGTGCAGCCTGCAATCCAGATGCTTGAGTTTGAATATTGGCCTCATCACCTTAGCTGTATGACCTCATCTGTAAAACAAGAATACTTAAGTAATACCATCCTTAAGCCGTTGGTATGAGGATAAAATAAAATAGTCCTTGTAAGGCTTTTTGCAAGAATTCTGGCAAATATTGTGCTTAATAAATGTTAGCTAGGGTGGTCACTTTATAATGCATGAGCTCTATACTTAAAAACATATGTGGTCCTGAACAAGTTATCTTACCTCTTTGAATATTAGTTTCCTTCTCTGTAAAACAGGGGTGATAATAATACTTCATTGAGAAGATTAACTGGTACAAACATAGCACTTAATAAATGTTCGTTTCTTTCTCCTTGACTTTAGGTGCCAATGAACAGAGAAATAGCCAAAGGGCTCGCTGAGTGGGAGCAGAGGTAAATGGGCCTGGATAATTGGAAAACTGGATAGTCACGAGGTTAACTATGCCACAGGCAAGAATCCAGATGGTTCCAACCTACCTCAGCCAGTGTGAGAATGCCCAGTAGATGTGTTTCTTTTGTAGTTCCTTTACTAGAAGCTTTATAAGAGCAGGCATGTTCACTGTTTCACAGGCTAATAGAAATAAAGTATGTATGTGCATCTTATGTAACATATCCCTACGTATGTATGCTGAATTCAGTAGGCAGCCATGTTCAGTATTTTAGAGCTGTAGCCATCACTCAACTCCCTTGTGTTGATAAGAAGAAACATTCGGGGAAAAGAAGACCTATTTGTTTATTGTAAGATTCAAAATCTCTAAGGGTAATGGCCTTTATTTCTTTCCTACTCAGAAGTTTGTTTTTCCCTATTTAATAGCTCATACAGGATTTTGAAAAAGGAAAACTTAAAAATTTTAATTAGAACCATATCCTAAATATCCTTCTGCTCTTCTGCATGTTTGTTTATTTTTTCTTAGGATTGATTTGTTCAGAGTTTTGAAATTACCAGGGAAGAGCTTTTGAGGATGTTTGAGATCCATGATTCAAAACAGGGAGGGACACATGAGTGGCAGGTGACATCAGAAGCCACCAGCCATTCCTCAAATTGCCAGCTCTGGAGCCCTCCATCCTGCACTAGAAGGAGATACTGCAAACCCTGCCAAGGTGTTCATGCTTCTCGTGCTTTAACATTTCAAAAAGCTCAATTCCCAAAGACAGTGAAACTGCCACGAAAAACAAAATGAACTCTGGATGACAAGGAGGCCCAGTCATTTCTCCTATCAATGGAAAGGGCAATTTTGATCAGAGACAAATAGTACTTGATTTTACCTATAGGGACTTATGACTTATTCACAGCTCTGACTCCTCTTCTCCACAGGAATTCAATAATGTAAACCTAATAATAAAAAATGACATAAAATGAATGTAATGAGAACACCCTAAAACTAGTTTCCCTCCTGGCCTATCTCCATGTTGCATCTTTCAGAAAGTGTCAGAAACGAGACTTAAACAAACAAATAAAAAAAAAAACCCCAAACCAGAACCTAATGCTGATGTGATCGTTTAAATAAACTAAACACAACTGGATAAGGAAGCTGTTTTACAAAAATAAAAATAGAAAAAAATTTCTTGACAAGAGGCATGGATTATTCAGGATCCCTGTGTTATTCTAATTGTTTCAGTGCTATTAGGTGCATTTTAAGGGAATGTGGCCCTGATGGATAAATGCACCTTTAATTCATTTCTAAGGCAGTGATGTGAGATATAAGACTTTTTTGGGTAGGCACAACCCCAAAAATGTCATGTAAATCTTGAAAAGTTTTTCATCCAAAAACCCCAAAGGGTTTACTCATCTCAACATCTGCATTTGATAGGCAGAGGGAGAAGAATGACTACAAGAGGAAGATTATCTGAGATTAAAACTGGAGACCTCCTAGAGGCTGGGCTCCCATAGGCACCCTGGCCCAGACCACAGCAGGGAGGGAATTCCTCCATTCTGCCTTTGTGCCTCATCTCCTGAGTTAGAGATGGTAGCTTAGTTTCCTTTCTTGGTTCCCTTCTGTATTCCTTACAGATAAAGAGATGTTCAATACACATGTGTTGGCAGAATGGCCTCCATTTTATAAGAGTGGAGGTGACTTAGCAGGACACATGCTATTTATACAAACAGAAGAACCTAGCAGCACAAACATGAGTAGGGATCTCTTTATTACTGCTCCTGGAGGTGGATTTATAGTGAAGTGAATGAGGGCCCCTCATGGGCGCAGACTGCTTCCAAGGCCTGGAACCTAACTTTTCATTTGCAATTGTGTGTTATTTTTCTTGAAAAAAGTTTTCAAATTGCATGAGTTTCAGGCCTCACAAAACTTGAATCTGCTGTGGATTGCTCTTAAAAGCGGTATACAAACGCCATCTTGGATTTTTCACCTGTCATTATTTTAACTCCTAGTCATCCAAAGCAAATATAAATCAATTAGTTTTGTAGCCATGGACAAACGAGGCCTGGGTTTCCTCATTTCTGAAAATGAAAGGTGATTGAATATGATTCCTCAGATCCCAAAAGAGAGCAATGTAGGGAAGGAGGGCACAGTGAGAAACAGAAGGAGGCAAAGGCTAGGACACCCTGGTGCTGGCTACACTACTAATAGCTGGCGTATGACCTTCAGTGAAGAACTTTACCTCTCAGGGCCTCATTTTCTCTACTATGAAATGAGGCAGGCAGACAAGACATTCTCTAAGGTCCCATCTTGTCCCATGATTCCAGTGCCCTGACTTGTGCAGTGTGTCACCTCTCATGGCCACTCTCACTGGGTGCTCACAGTAGCCCTGAGACTAGTCAGTGGAACACTCTGGTGAGCTTCAGAATTCAAATTCAGTGCTCTTCTTACTATACCACATGGGAGATATTTTCCAGCTAAACCGTAAACAAGGCTAATATCATTGGTTTGATGGCCTTCAAATATGCACTGTTGTCATGCCGAGTCAAAGATGATAGTCTGACATAAACCAGCGTTGCAGTGTAGATGTGGCGAATGACAAGGGAGTGGCTCCTTTCCCACAAGAGGCACTGGACTTGAAGCTGCAGCTGGTACAGCCCATCTGCAGGGAAATGCCATTTTCTTCTCATGCCTCTGTTCAAAACTTGAGTCCCACTGCTTACAGCTAGACAATCATTAGAATCACTGGTGGCACTGAAAAAAATCCCAAGCAGCTCAGACTCCCTGGAACTACCATATTTGAATTCCTGGAGAGATTAGGGGCCAGGAATCTTTCATTTTAAGCTTCCCAGGTAATTCTGATGATCCACCAGGTAGGAAAAGTATTGTTCTAGGTAGTTTTCTCTGTCCTAGCCAGCCTGGAAATGCTGTTTCTTTTAAAACAGTAAGTCTATCTGGATACCCTGATGCCTCCTGCCACAAAGTCAAGCTGGTATAGCATTGGCTAGGACAAGCAGTGACAGCCACAAAAGACCACCTATTCTGATTCCATTTATATGAAATGTCCAGAAGAGGCAAATTCACAGACATAGAAAGTAGAGTAGTGGTTTCCAGGGTCTGGGGAAAGGAGACTGAGGGAAGGAGTAAGGAGGCAGAGATGGGGGGAATGGCTAAGGGGAATGGAGTTTCTTTTGGGGCAATAAAAAATCTAAAATTGATACTACTATGTGAATATACTAAAAACCATTACATTGTATACTTTAAATTGTTGAATTGTATAGTATGTGAATTATATCTCAATAAAGCTGCCATTCATATATTATATATGTTATATATGTATATATGTATACATATGTGTATATATAACATATTATATATATTATATATATATATATATATATTCTTTTTTTTTAACAGCCCTAATCTTCTCTTCCCCGCTCTACACACAAACACACGTGCACCAACTCATGATCATTGACAGGTTAATTACAGAGGCCCAACTAATGTCCCACATGTATGAATGGCACTCCAATCACCTCGCTTGTGACCACCTTATTAATACTCTCCCCAGCTCTCCGCTCTCCTGCACCAGAGACATCAAATCGTCCCGGGCAGATGGCACCACCTGGTGGCCATTACAGGAAATCCTGACCGCACACCTCTGCACTACCTCCTCTCTCGCCATTCTTCCCTCTTCTTCCAACTTCAGGGCTCAGTTAATTCTATAGTTGAGGTGATCTCCAATTTATACAAAAGCACTCCCCTTCATCTCTCCTCCAACTTGCCTCAAGTCTTCCTCTACTGCTGCTAAATAGCTTAAAGAACTGTAGTTTTAAGTCTACATGTGAAAATGGAAAGAAACAAATCTTAAAGTGGATAGACAAAAATTAGATCTAATAAAGAAGCAATGCATCGTATTAACAAATATTTCAGAGACTAAGAAAAGCAAAAAGCTATATAATAGGAAGAGATGTTCTGTTTCATTGGTCATCAAATAAACACAAATAAAACAATGAAATGCCATTTTTGCCTATCAAATTAAAATACTTTAAAAAGTTAATACTTATAGTTAACAAGTGAGACAAGACACCCACAAACAAGTGAGAGAGAAAGCACAGCCATATAAGTCCAACACTTACAGAAAGCAACCTGACAGTATGTAGGAAATGCAGCCTAAACAATAGGTACAGAGCTTGACCCAATTATTCTTCTTTTCATAGAAATATATACCCCAGAGAATTTATCAAGACTGTACACAAACGTTTATGCACAAATATGTTCATTGAAGCTGTGTTTATGATGGGATAAACTGGAAAAACTCTAAATGGCCATTTGCAAAAATGCTTGAGTAAATTGAGGCATAAACATATAATAGGATATAATGCAGCTACTAAAAATAATTACACTGATTTTAATATAGGGATAGGTTCTTGATATAATATTAAGTATAAAAAGAGATAAAAGATTTACTGTATGATTTTAAAAACTACCTATGTGTGCACAGAAAACAGACTGGAAGAAAACATAGCCAAATGCTGAAAGTGGGTATCTCTAGGTGGTACGATTCTAAACAATCTTTATTTTATTTTCGAAATGATCCACGACAGCTTTTATTATCTTCATAAGAAAAAATACTGAAACATAAGTTATCCATATAGCATCCTTAAAGTTACCCCCAAATTTCCCTCCGAGTGTGTGATGGCAGAAAAAACAAAGCCTCTAGAGCCATGGGTCTCCACAGCGGGTCTGATTTTGACCCTCAGAGGACATTTGACAATGTCTGGAGATGTTTTCTTTCTTCTCTTTTTTTTTGTTGAGACAGAGTTTCGCTCGTTGCCCAGGCTGGAGTGTAATGGTGCAATCTCGGCTCACCGCAACCTCTGCCTCCCGGGTTCAAGTGATTCTCCTGCCTCAGCCTCCCTAGTAGCTGGGATTACAGGCATGCACCACCACAACCGGCTTATTTTGTATTTTTAGTAGAGACAGGGTTTCTCCCTGTTGGTCAGGCTGGTCTCTGAACTCCCAACCTCAGGTGATCCGCCCGCCTCGGCCTCCCAAAGTGCTGGGATTACAGGCATGAGCCACCGCACCTGGCCTGGAGACATTTTCTGTTGTCACAAATGGGGGAAATGCCACTGGCATCTAGTGGGTAGAGGCCAGGGATGCAGCCTCCACCACAGAGAATTATCTGACCCACATCTAAATGGTACCGAGGGTGTAAACCCTGCTCTGACTTGAATCCAGGTTCTATGCCCCTTCTGTTCCATCTTGGCATGTTGCTCACCTGCTCTAAACCTCAACTTTCCCTTGTAAAATAGAATCATCTGCATATGATTTCTGAGGGCAAAATACAATACATAAAGTGTTTGGCACATAGTAGATACAAAATAAATATTTGCTTCCTTCTCCTCCAACACTATTACTCAATTTTGTATTTCCTTTTGTGAGTTATAGCAAACTTTTGCAGTTATAGAAAGAATATATTCTACCCTTTAAATTATATCTCAATTATCCATTCCAAATATAATAGTGGAGTCAGTCAGGTAAGCTTTGCTGTGCTCTTCCCAGATTCTAGAGCTTTAATATCAGATTGATACCATGAAAAAATTAAATTACTGGCTGTACAATATTGATTACCAAAAACTCATGAAGGCAAATGTCTTAAGTACTAGGGGTAATCGAGGTGAAAAGCTGATCTCCTTTTGGGGTCTGCCCTGCAGTCAGAAGGGCTGACTCTGGAGAGCACCTGAGAGGGGTGCAGGGCACCAAAGGACAGGAGCAGGGGTATCATGCGTGCATCTCTCATTACTCACCAAAGCTACATGTGAATGACCTAGGCTCATGTAGTCATCTGGGTTAGTTGGATCCTTTTCCTTGGCTGAATGAGCTCTATTAATAGATCTAAGGTAGGCTCACTCTTACTGCTTCTCCATCAGAATAGTGCTGGATACCTGATACCTTTGGGTAGACTGGAGAGAGGCTGATGGTCATTCACACAGTCTCCTTGATGTCCAAACCGAATGAGGGAGGTGATCTGACCTGCCTGGAGCATGGACACATTGAGGCAGTGTCAGAAGATGGCCTGGGTGGGTAGGCAGGCTGCAGGAGGAAGCTCTGTAGGTACTGATAACTCTCTCGTCAGAGTCACGGATCTGGCAAGCTGAGAGCAAGCTGACCACTCCCTGCCTGCAGGTACATCTCGCCTGTCCACAGCCCAGACCCCTAGGCACCAAAACTCTGACTGTAAAAAAAGCCAGAGGTCCTTACCAGGCTCCAGTGTGCTCTATACAGACCTAGTTAAATGATAGACGACTGCCAAAAATTCTATTCACTGACCACACAGGGAAAAAATAATCCTTCCAATATTAGTATTATGTATCATTTACTGTCAGAATAACTGCTCTTTCCTCTCCTTCCTTTGCAAACATTTTCAGACCATAGAACCTGCATTGTTGCCATGTTTTTGCACACTTCAGTGACCAAGGGCTATTCAGAGTCTGGACAAACTCAGCAAATAATTCCTCCCATCATCTGCTGAGGATTTTTTTTTTTTTTAAAGGAAAGCAAGCAAGATACAGAGAAGGGACCTGCTGGTTCAATTCAGGAGCCAGGCGTCTTAGGTAGCTCACAGCAAAGGGATTCTTCCCAGCAGGCCCATCCATTCCTGCTGCTCCAGAGGAAAACGTTAGTCACTCACATCTTGTCCAAACCGTGCAGGGCTTGTTGACACAGGCCTGCTGAGCTGTCATACCAGAAAGATGGCATCAGGAAGGTCCCCTGGGCTTCTGCAGGGCAGGCTAGCCTCCTGGCCTGGCTGTTTCCTCAGCCATAACCTCTGTCTCATGCAAAGAAAAACTTGAACAGGCCACTGGGGGAACTGACCAGTAGTGCCAGGAGCCTGCCACAGATCCCTTCTGGCAAGGCCTATTGCTATGGTTATTTTAGGCCCTGGATAAGTATCACTCTGTCTTGGTCAGACCAAAAGCCAGCAGGAAAGTTTTCCTCCTGCCACTCACTGCACTGCCACCCACTGGGCACCTGGGATCGTCTAACTTGCCATGAGAAGTCCGTGTCTGACACTCTGGGAGCTTATAATCAAATATGTCCAAGTGAACAATCACCTGGAAAAGATGGAGCTCCCAGAGGAAAGATCCATTTCACAGATGATCCGGCACATGCTGTGCAGTGCGAGTGCAGGGGCACATTTCTCCTATTATCTCTCTGACAGTTTTTTTGGTTTTTTTTGTTTGTTTTTTTTTGAGACAGAGTCTCGCTCTGTCGCCCAGGCTGGAGTGCAGTGGCGCCATCTCGGCTCACTGCCAGCTCCGCCTCCCAGGTTCTCGCCATTCTCCTGCCTCAGCCTCCCGAGTAGCTGGGACTACAGGTGCCCGCCACCATGCCCAGCTAATTTTTTGTATTTTTAGTAGAGACAGGGTTTCACCGTGTTAGCCAGGATGGTCTCAATCTCCTGACCTCGGGATCCACCCGCCTCGGCCTCCCAAAGTGCTGGGATTACGGGCATAAGCCACCACGCCCGGCCCTCTCTGACAGTTGTTAAGTGCTGAGTGACTGAAGAAATACCTACCTTCATCTCCAGAGATCCCCGTGGTGTTGGTGCCATCTGTGCATGTATTTGACCAATACAAAGGGAAATATCCAACCCACCGTCCCATCCAATGCCACTGCTACTACCCCTGCCACCATCGAGGGTATCGCTAGATTTGGGGCAGCCTATTTATCTGCAAGGACAGAGAAGTGTTACAGAACATTCTGTGGGCAAGGTGCAGAAGGGAGGCTGGAGCTTCTCAGGTGAGCTTAGGGCCCTGAGTAATATAGACCATGTGCCACTGTGCCCAGATGCTCTTTAAGCAGAAAAACTTGGCGACAGCCTTAAATGCATCCAGCCTTCCCTGCCACCCTCCCTTCCCCATAACCACCCTCCACTCAACACATACTGGTTAAAAAGTATGTTTCTTTTCACTTCTTACTGCCTGAAGCTGAATCTTTATCATCTACATCCTACCCGTCCTCAAGGAAGTCTAGCTCAAGTTTGATCTGTGATGTCTTCTCTAGGGGCCAATGCCTTATTCCCCTCCTGAACTCCAGTAGTGACTGCCTGATCCACATATAGGGTTCTCAGCTTCTATCTAGTAGGTTGCAGCTATGCATTTTAAGTTTGATGTCCCTTTCATCCACCTAGACTTCAAATTCCTTAAACAAGGGCTGTGAGTCATGATAAGAGATGATGGACAGGCCCAGCTACTCCTCTTTGCCATTCCCTGGATATCAGTTTGTATCACATCCTTTTAGCCAGCCCACCTCACTGGGGTGCGGCACTGCATGAAAACACTTCGTTACTCCTAATCTTTGTTGTGTTTGGTTATTCTTACACCTCTGGATGCCTCTAGACTCAAGTACCAATGGAACATGCTGTAAGGGAGTGGGAAGTAAGGGGAAAAGCAGTCTAATTCTGTTCCATTCCTGATTTTCTGTAAACACGCTCAATTCCTCTGGTCAGAGTTTAACCTTCACTGGAAAGGTTAAAAGAAGATAGTGCCTGATGGAGATCTTACATAAATAAGTTAGATGCATGTTTATGGGTTTTGAAACATATCAGGGCCACAGTTCCTGGCATGTAGTAGGCACTCAGTAATTACTCATTGAGTAAATAAAAGTAGAAATGTATTAGATAATATTTTGATAGGCTATTTGGTTCAAGGAAGTGTACCGATCATGGGCTGCCAGAGACGCCCACAAGAGGACAGTGTGTTCTCAAACCACGGAGAGCAAGCTTTTCAATTCTGCACACCTTTCTTCCACTGACATCTGCTATATCCACATGGACAGGTTTCACTTTTGGTTTGGCAGCTGAATCATAGTCTCCTTCACTTTAAACCTGCTTCTATAACCTATTTCATGGCAGAATACAACATCTGTAAAGTCACAAGGGCAAGAATGGAACAGAGCAAATTTCAGTATGAAAAAGTTGCTATTTATGAGCTTTTAGAAAGCATCCATCCTCATTACAGTCACATGTTTCTCATGCCTAAGGTCAACACCAATACAGAGCAGAGCACTTAAGGCCAGGTGGGAAACTGATTCTGGCAAAGTTTAACATGCAACTACTGGGGGCAGTTTTCTGAGGCCACGTGAAGGAAACTTAAGATTGAAAGATATGACTATCTTCCAATCCCAAAGCCACTTACACCTGGAAATACATACATATATATATATATATATATATATATATATATATATATATATATATATATATATATATATATATATACAGGAGGATGAAAGAATTAAGGACCATGAGAATGATGCTTTGCACCTGTGTACCATTTTATACTTTCCAAAATACGTTTATATATATTATTTAATTTGACTGCCCTGTCAAACCTGTGAGATGGACTGGACAGTTTATCTCTATTTTTAGATTGGGAAGCTAAACTTTGCGGAACTGAAGGGACTTGTTCAGTGCCATGCAGCTGGTCTGAGCTAGGACTAGAACCCCTGGGCATCCTGCCTCAGTGCTCTTCCTGCTATGCTGTACAAACCAAGTCCCCCCCAGCCTCCACCGCCAGTGCCCCTTCCTCTACTAACATCACACAGCACACCATGGTCAAAAGTGCATGCTCAGTTATATTTGCGGTGCGAAATTGTGGTCTGCTAAACCCTTCCAGCCGCCTTCGACAGTTCTCTTTACGAACTGTGGTGCCCAAGGTATTTGCACCAATTGGTTCCAAGAAGGCAGTTTGTCAGAACATTTGCTTCCAGAAGCGGCACATCTCTGAAACACCATCCACCCAAATCCACATGTGGTTTACCACGACTCCCAGCACATTATAGTTTCTCAGCTAAATATCACAGGATTGTACTAGTCTACCAGGATAGAAGACAGCTGGATGGGGAGATACATTTAAACCTAACACAGCTGTCCTGCCAACAGGACATTTAACTCGTAAAGCTTAAGCGGTGTGATTGTGGGCAATGATAAACGTTTTTAACCTTTTTAAAGGCTGTATCAAATGAGACAGAATATAGAAAAGTATTTCTGCAAGCCATAAAATATATAAAATTTAGTTACCACAATTCCACTTCCTACATGTGCCTGATCCACTTTGTCAATTACCTGTGGGAAATTGTTGATTGTGGCTTCCCTGGCGACTCAGCACACTTCCTGTTGCCTCCCTCTTTTTCCAGATGACGTGAAACAAGGTCCCAGCTTGAACACTCTGAGTTTTGAACAGATATGTCTGAGAGGACATCTGCCAGAAGCCTATTTGCATGAGGAACTTAGAAACCTCCAGGAGAAAGCTCAGACTGAAGGAAAGAGGAGTCGGCTTGCCAACTGCAAGGCACCAGACAATAAATAATGCCTTAGTGGTCAATGGAAAGGTTGGGATTTTTAGAACCTATGGTTCCCAGTGCTTAGCTTTGTCTCCATGTCCAACACCCCCATGTGAATCCTACAGAAAGTTGTGGGGCAGAGGGGCAAAAAAAATAAAGCTATGTTTCCCTAAAAAATCTCTAGTATTTAGGGATATCAAGGCACACTGTCTTGGTCCATTCAGGCTGCTGTAAAAAACACTTTAGACCAAGTGATATGCAAACAGCTGAAATTTATTGCTCACAGTTGTGGGGCTGGGAAGTCCAAGATTAAAGTGCCTGTAGATTCTGTGTCTGGTGAGGGCCTGTTCCTCACAGTGGCTCCGTCTCCTGTGTTCTCCCACGGTGGAAAGGGCAAATGAGCTTCCTCTGGCCTCTTTCATAAGGGCATGGATCCCATTTGTAAGGGTGAAGCCCTCAAGGTCTAATCACCCCCAAAGACCCTATCTTTTAATACTATTGCAGTGGGGATTAGGCATCAACATATGAATCTGGGGGAGACACAAACATTCAGACCATAGCATACACTGAGGGGATTTCCCGTTGCCCTCCCAAGTCAGCACCCACTACAACAGAACACCCTGAGGCTGCATAGCTTGGGGGCACCCACCAGCTGTAATGGGAGACAATCATAGCTGAAGGGCATGGTGGTGCCGAACTTAAGGGGACAAGGGGAGGAAAAGGGGAAAATGGGTAACTGTCCCACGGAAGTGGACCAATTCATTTTGCTTAGGATCATATATGGTGTTTGCTCTATGATCTCCAGAATTTTTTTTTTTGTTGTTCAGACAGAGTCTCGCTCTGTTGCCCAGGCTGGAGTGCAGTGGCACGATCTCGGCTCACTGCAAGCTCCGCCTCCTGGGTTCATGCCATTCTCCTGCCTCAGCCTCCTGAGTAGCTGGGACTACAGGTGCCCGCCACCACGTCCAGCTAATTTTTTGTATTGTTAGTAGAGACGGGGTTTCACCGTGTTAGCCAGGATGGTCTCGATCTCCTGACCCTGTGATCCGCCCGCCTCGGCCTCCCAAAGTGCTGGGATTACAGGCATGAGCTACCATGCCCGGCAATCTCCAGAAATATTTAAAGCACTTTCCAGGAAATTGCAGTCCTAAGTGACCAAGTGTGAGAAATGCCGGTGACTTTTAGGTTATTACCGTCAAAATGCTCCAGATATATTTACATGTTGCGAAGGCTGGATAATCTTGACTGGAATAACACGAGTCCCACTTGCTGGTGTCTCAGAGGTCAATGGCTATTTCAAGGGAGCAAATATGGCAAGGTTGTTTCAACAAATATTTAGTGGGTGTTATTTGCCTGGCCTTGTCTAGGCACTACAGACACAAAAAGCGAGGCAGATACTGTGTGCGCATTTGCAAATCTCAGTCTAGTGAGGAAGGCAAGCTCTTCCTCATCATCAATGCCAATTCACAATGAGGCTAAAGAAGCAAATACAAAGAAGTATCAACAATGAGCCCAGGAGTGAGGATCATCCTTAAGGATAAACCTTGTGGTCAAGGTTTAACCCTTTCTGCATCTGTACAGTACCTATAATTAACTAGATCAACTAGCCAAAGAAGCAGTGTGATGTGCTGGACAGACAGAAGAGGAAAACACCGGGGTCCAGCTCAGGCTCTGATCCCACAAATACTAGCTGGGCTATGGATGGAATGTTTGTGTTCCTCTTAAAATTTACATGTTGAAGCCTAATCCCCAATGTGATGGTAATAGAAGAGGCCCCAGAGAGCTCTCTCATCTCTTCTGCCATGTGAATACAATGAAAGACAGCCACCTATGAATCAGGAAGCAGTCTCTCCCCAGGCACGGAATCTGCCAGCACCTTGGTTTTGACTTCCCAGCCTCCAGAACTGTGAAATAAACCTTTGTTATTTAAGCCACCTAGTCTGTGGAATTTTTGTTATAGCAGCCTGAACAGACCAGAAGACAAGCTGTATCCCTAGATAAGTCTCATCTCTGAGTTTCTTTTTCCACATCTGTAAAAGGTGGCAAGGAATACTCACCCTCCTTGCCTGCCTCCAGTAAGTGATTGTGAGGGTAAGCATGACACTGTGCATGAAGACAATTTGAGACCCAGACTCTGTTAGAGAGATTCAAAAGCAAAATACCATATTTATGTGGATTATAATAATTTTCCTTAGGAAATGGAGGCTTGATGACAGCTGTGTTAATTTTATTCCCCAACACCCTATTAATTTCATGTGTCAGACTGCCTAAGTTATAGTACCCAGTTGTGTGATCATAAGCCAACACTAGATTTTTCTGTGAAGGTATTAAAGTGAGTAATATTTAAATCAGTGAACTTTAAGAAAAGCAGATTACTCTCTATAATACGGGTGGACTTCATCTAATCACTGAAGACGTTAAGAGAAAAGACTGAGGTCCTCTGAAAAGGAAATAATTCGGCCTCTGGACTGTCTTCAGACTCAAAATTATCAACTCTTGCCCAAGTCTCCAGTCTGTCTTACAAATTTTCAACTTGCCAGCCCCCACGTTTATATGAGCCAACTCTTTAAAATAACTGTCTGTCTCTCTATACATTCTATTGGTTCTGTTTGTCTGTTTCTCTAGAGAACCCAGGATTTACATCTGGTTCTAGTGACTTCCATGAAAATACACTGGGGCTCAGACTTACCCAGGCTCCAACCCATATAGAAGTGAATATTTCACAAGGATTATTCTACAGTCAGACAACTGGCAGAGCAATTAGTAGTTGCCATACAGCAAACTTAATTTCAGGAGTTGTTATCTAGTTTTCTGTGTCCCTCTTTGACATTCTAAGATAGTCACATGTTATTTAAGGAATGGACTAAAGATCTCACTCGTGATTGAAAATTCACAAAATTCAAGAACAATCCTAATTGAGGATGATGACAGATTCTACCGATCACTGTTTAGAATTACTAAGCCTACTACTTTGAAATTGTGATTCTTGACAAATTGTTATTTGGGGAAGATTCACATTATTTCACATTTTGTGCATGCAATAAGGCTGTGCTAATTTTTTACATTGTACTGTTCCAAAGACACATGAAGTGTTCACATAAAATTCCCCAACACCCTATTAAGATTATTTTCTATTTTTGTTCTAGGTTTATGCTTCACTAAAACATTTATTACTATTAAACAAGATATAAAATAGACAAAGATGACACTTTAGATCTTTTGATCTACAAGACATCTAGGAGTTATAAAAAGTAAATATTAAAAGTTTATACTATAACTAGTAAATAACTAATAGTTATAGTTGTAAAAGTTAAAAATAGTGCTGTCCAAAATTTTAAAACATCAAAAGACATATCAGTGAGGTGTATAAATGTATAAGCTGGCAAAGAAAAGAGATTTGGGAGACTGCATTTCATTCTTGTATTCTTATTTTAATTGAGAAGGTGGCTAGAATTAGTACAGTGCTTGCAAACACCCGAGGCCAAAACCTCCAAAGCTCTGTATCCCAGCACACCTTTGCCACTTTCCTTTTTCCCCAATGGAGGAAGGAAAGACCTAAGACACAGGCCAACACCTGTGCTCCAGTCCTCATCCTCTCCCACCTCCTCAGTTGCTGCTCCCCATCCCACATCTTCAACTCTCCCTCTCTGCTGGTTCTTAGCAATTAGCACTTCAGCAAGTTCAATTTCTCACATCCTAAAACAACCTTAACAGAAACCGTCCTCAGCTCTAAATCATTCACCCTTCCCCCAATCCTTCCACAGCTATTACTCATCTCCCCTTTACCTGACATTCTGGGAACACATTTATACGTTGCATTTCTTCCTTGTTTATCCCCTCAATGCCCTGCAGGTATGGTGGGCCCCCACTACTCCCCAGAGCCGGCTCTGCCCAAAGCCCCCACAAAGCAGTAACTTCTGTGTTGCTACCCCCAGTGAACACTTGACACCCAGTGGTTTTTACTATTTCATGTGACCTCTCTGCTGATCCTGACAGTGGTAACCACTGCCCCTTCTCAGAACACTATTTCCTTGTTTTCATTACACTCTATCTTTCTGGTTCTTCTCCTTTCTGGCCGATTTATCCCAGTTTCCTTTGTGGATTCTTCTTCATCTACCTGGCCTTTGTCTTAGGTGCCCTGTTGTTCTCAATACCCACCCAGGGTGACCCCATCCACCCCTACAGTATCAGCCACCACTAACACGGGGATGACTCTGAAACCCTTCCTTCTCCCAGACTTCTCTCCTGTGCCATATACATCTAAGTGCCTTCTGGATACCCAGGACACTGTAAACATACACAAACATGTCATCGTGTTCATCTTTCCTATCCTTTTCCCCTCCCAAAAAGAACCTCCCCGTTTCTTTTGAATTTCTCATTACTATCCATGCAATTGCTCAACAGAGAAAAACTGAAAATCATCCAGAGACTTTAAGGATTGAAGTTCAAGGTGGACAAAATGCAACCCCAAAGGCATGGGCCCATTGGGGGGTCCCAGTCCATTCATAGATGGCCTACAAGCCCAATGTTCTCATTGGTTCCTCCAGGGTGAGGATAACCTAGAAACAGATTTTAGTCAAGACACATAAGAGTCAGCTGCACTGCTTTCTCCAACTGCAGAGAGAGACTAGCCAGAAACGGAGTGTCCCCTACAGTTCAAGGTTTGCTTCACCCCGCCATCCTCAAATGGGAAGCAACTGTTGCCACCCTGTGGCAAAGCGGAGGCACTGCAGCTCCTTTACCAAGGCCAAAGCTTGGCAGAGTAGAGGCTCCTAGGATCTGCCTCTTCAAGTAGCCTATCATCCACAGGACTCTTTCTCCACTTGATATTTATTAAGAAAATAACCTTGGGTCTCTATTTCTAAGTGAAAAATTTGAAGTCCAACAGTCAGTGTTATAAAAAAGAACGTATTTTATTTTATTTTATTTTTCTGAGACAGAGTTTCGCTCTTGTTGCCCACGCTGGAGTGCAATGGGCGATCTTGGCTCACTGCAATCTCTGCCTTTAGGGTTCAAGCGATTCTCCTGCCTCAGCCTCCCGAGTAGCTGGGATTACAGGCACGTGCCACCATGCCCAGCTAATTTTTTGTATTTTTAGTAGAAACGGGGTTTCACCATGTTAGCCAGGCTGGTCTCGAACTTCTGACCTCAGGTGATCCGCCCGCCTCGGCCTCCCAAAGTGCTGGGATTACAGGCGTGAGCCATCGCGCCTGGCAGAACGTGGGTATTTTAATGTTTGGCAATATGGATTTAAAATTACTCAGAGCCATCAAATGCTAATGTTTATACATTTCTATCTTAATGGCTAGATAACTGGTGTTATCACAGTGCTAGATAGCTGGTGGCCTAGAACTGTGGGGAAAATGAACAGCTGGCACTGAGCAGCCTATCTTTTACCTGAAGCTGTTAATGTTCTGAAAACGAAAGCACATTTTCTGGTTGGATTCATCCAAGGCCATCCAAGGCCATCATCAGTGTCAGCTGGCACAACCAGTTCTAACTCCCAAGAGCTCCCATCTCACAGCACATGGTTCTCCGAATCAGTCCCCTGGACAGTTGGTGGCTTTATTTGTTTCTGGGGATAATACAACAGTAGCCATTTAGCTATGTCTTGGAGACCAGTGAGCAACCGTGGGCTTGGGAGAAGATGGTTACTGCTGAAATATATGGTGCACTGAAGCATATCTGAACTGTATTGCTAACTGATGAGTAATCAAAAATAAGACTGGGGCGCCGGGCGTGGTGGCTCACGCCTGTAATCCCAGCACTTTGGGAGGCCGAGATGGGCGGATCACGAGGTCAGGAGATCGAGACCATCCTGGCTAACATGGTGAAACCCCGTCTCTACTAAAAATACGAAAAAAAAATTAGCCAGGTGTGGTGGCGGGCACCTGTAGTCCCAGCTACTCGCGAGGCTGAGGCAGGAGAATGGCATGAACCTGGGAGGGCAGAGCTTGCAGTGAGCTGAGATCCCGCCACTGCACTCCAGCCTGGGCGAAAGAGCAAGACTCCGTCTCAAAAAATAAATAAATAAATAAGATTGGGGTAAGCCATTAAAGACTGAAAACATGTTGTTGATAATCCACAAAGTGAGAGGAGGAAGGCCTGCAATTCAGTTACTAATGGCACCCACTGATTGCATGTAAGAGTGGGCTGGAAACCCCATTTTATTTTATTTTTATTTTTCAAACACCAACTCGAACCAGACAAGCCCATTTTATTTGGGCCGATTTTATTTGAGAGAACTAGGCTTAGAAAGTTGCCAGGATTACACATAGCTAGAAAATAGTACGGCTACGGGTTAACCCGAGTTCTCTGCCATAAACATACACACTCTTTTTTTTCATGTAATGCCAAGTAGGTCCCTGTTTGTCTTTGTGTTTTTATTTGCTTTGGACTAAGAATTTACACATTTGAAAGATGCTCCTTACCAAGCTGTTTTTAAGGCGCCCACGGAGAAGTTAAACATAACCCCCAATCCTCTCTGGATGTTTTGGCAAATGCTTCTACCCCAGCGACCACTTAAAGCTATTAACGACCAGGAGGCTGGCTACCAGGGTTCAGGAATCTTCCAAAATAAACTTCTAGTCTAGTTGGCCCTCTGCTGGTTTAGTCCCAGGACTGCAAAAAGTCCTTCTAGCTCCTTGGTAGGCGCTGTACAAAGGGCACAAACCTTGCACCATGGTGATCACAGTCATAGTCAATTCTAGATAACAGACATTTTTGCTCATCACATTATCACTAAGCTCATGGCAAGAACCTCTAGGCAGAGATTTTTAAAAACAGAATAGAAATGGAATATTTTCCTTGAACTAAAAGGCAGAAAGTCTTGACAGATCCAGATGTAAAACAGTATTTACATACTTATTGCCATTAGGTATATTTATTTCCCCCTGATATTATACATTAATTCCTCAAATATTTACTGAATGCTTACTATGTGCCTGGAATATAATGCAGTTAATAAGCAGATATAGCCTCATGGAGCTTACATTCCAGTGGAGAGATAAACAATAAGCAAGAAAACAAACAATGATTATAAATGACAAAAAATGCTATGGAGCTTTAAAAAAAAAGGCTGGACATGGCGGCTCACGCCTGTAATCCCAGCACTTTGGGAGGCCAAGGCGGGAGGATCACGAGGTCAGGAGGCTAACACGGTGAAACCCCGTCTCTACTAAAAACACAAAAAATTAGCCGGGCGTGGTGGCGGGCGCCTGTAGTCCCAGCTACTGGGGAGGCTGAGGCAGGAGAATGGCGAGAACCCGGGAGGCGGAGCTTGCAGTGAGCCGAGATCGCACCATTGCACTCCAGCCTGGGGGACAGAGTGAGACTCTGTTTTTTTTTTTTAAAAAAAAAAAGGAGACTGCAACAGAGAATGTAGGGGGGTGCTACTCAGACAGGGCAGTCAGGCAGCCCTCTCTGAGTGGGTGACTTTGAAACTCGCTACACAAGGAATGGGAGGTTGATAGCCTCCCATTGTTGATCCCATCCAATGTGTTGATAGCCTTGAGGTGGGAAGAGGCCGGTGTGACTCAGGGCCAGAATGCGTGGAACAAAGTAGGGAGTACGATTGACTGGAGCTGTGGATCCTCGTAGGTCATGGCAAGAAGGGTTATTTTTATTCAGGGTACGATGGGAAGCCACCAATGGAATTGTAACTACGGAGATGACACTAATATGGTTTAAACTTTTCAAGTTTAACTCCTGAAAAAAGTTTAACTCCTGTTCTTCCTGTGAAGAACAATCGAAAAGGGATCAAGAATAGAAGCAGGAAGATGAGTTAGGAGGCGATTTCAAAACTCCATGCCAGACATGATGGTATCTTGGACCAGGGTGTTTGGAGTAGAGCTAGAGAGAAGCAGACAG
Source organism: Homo sapiens (assembly GCF_000001405.40). NCBI lineage: Eukaryota > Metazoa > Chordata > Mammalia > Primates > Hominidae > Homo > Homo sapiens. Next base: position 2,166,628 of record NW_012132920.1, on the reverse strand, counting down.
GAAATTGCACATGGATTTTAGAGATAAAAATGAAATAAATTACTTAAAATTGAGGCATGAAGTGTGATGGAGAAAATCAAGGGTTACTGTAGGTATTTAGTTTGCATATATGGCTAAGCAGGGGCACTACTCATTTAGACAGAAAAGACTGATATAAACAGGCTGGGGAAGGTGGTGGTTTGAGAAATCAGGATCGAAACCTGGCAATTTAGCAATTAGTGTAAGCCTATGGATATGCAAGAAAGAAATGTGGGCTGAAATACAAACACCGGAGTCACCAGCCAAGAAATGGATTGAGAGTCAAGAGAATGAATGAGATCAAGTAGATAGAGAATTGAGGGAAATAAGAGAAGTGGACCCAGCACTGAGCCCTGGAGAACTTAACTTTTAAAGGCCGCCAGAGAAACCTGTAAACGAAACTAACAAATGGGTAAAGAAAAAAAGGAAAAAAGGAAAGCCCAATACTTATTTGTTTATTTAAGGACTACATTTCCTCGCCCTGCTACTTTGCTGTTCACATTTATTTCCTCAGTACCTAAAACAGTGCCTGGCACTCAATAAATACTAGTAGGTTTAATGAATGAGCGGTGAGAACAGTGGGCTACAATGGACCAGGAGAGAATGAGAGGTGAAGAAGTACAATTGGCATGTGAGGAAAGGCTGTGAAAGGCAGCTGTGAAAGGTTGCTGTGAAAGGCAGCAGAAAATTGGAACAGTAACTAGAAGGGATATGGAATCAAAGAAGATATGTTTTTTTTAATGGGATATATGATACCTCACTGACCTAACATTAATTTATACTGATACTATATTCCTATACTAAAAGGCCAATTTATAATTCTATATTTGAGAGCAAATATACACATTTGTTAAGATCCATTGATCATACAATTAATTTATTTAAGTAGACAAGATAGATATTTGTCTTCTATGTACCATGTGTTGGGCAGTGAACAACTCTGCCTGCAAGGAACTTAACATCCAGTAATTATCTAAAGTGATGATGATGATGATTTGTTTAGAAATTATTTCATCGTAGCACAGTTATCCATGCTAAAACTTTATTTTTGCTTCTGTGGACTGGAACATTACCTGCTTACAAGTAAGTGAATTTAAATCCTACCCCTAAGCTAAACAGAAGGTTATAGGAGTTAAGTAACTTGCCCAAGGTCATATTAGTAATAAATGATGAAGCTGGCATTCAAATTCGGGTGTCTCTGACAATGGTTTGTGCTCATAAGCACCATGTTAAGTGTATTTGAAATTCACACCAGAATACAGTATTACTATAAAATATGATAATATATTATGTATATTCTTTCTGTAACAATTAAAAATAAACTTTCCCAACTTGGTTCTTCACAATAAAATCCTAAAATCAATGTTGGAAGGGTATGGAAGATACTCCATGTGTCTGTCAGAGGGAATTAGCATCAGGGAGTGTGAGCAAAGATAATGCAAATAAATGGATGAGGTGAAACAATAACTAACTCACATGAATAAATGATCAGACCACCCAACAAATTCAATGCCAAGGTCCCAGACTGGGAAAAACCCAGGCTTTTTATTTTGTTGTTTTTGCCCCAAGTATCTTTGGACTATTTTCTTTGTTAGTTTTCATCCTAGCTATAGTATACAATTCTAGGAAGACTCCCAAGATTCCCACCTGCTGGGAATATAATGAGATATCAGTCCCTTGTTATCTGAAAAAGGTCATGGGATAGTCACTCCCAGGATCATATTACATTATAATTAGAAGACTAAAGAGATATTCTCCTTCCAGCTATGAGAAGGCATGTGGCTTACAACCTGAGGCGGCCTCTAAGAGCTGAGAGGGGCTTTGGTTGGCTGACAGCCAGCAAGAGAAAGGGAACTCAGTCCTACAATATAATTCAAATGGAATTCTGCCAACAGCCTTAACGAGCTTGGAAGAGGACGCAAGCTGCAGCCAAGACGACACCTCTGGTCAGCACCTGAACACTAATCCGCACCAAACTCCTGAGCAGTGGAAAACTCAAATAATAAATGAATGCTGTGTGAAACTGCTAAATTTGTGGTAATTTGTTATACAGTAATAGAAAACTAAAATTCAAGTCAGTATTCATCCCTTCCACAGATACTGATAGGGGAGACTTAAGATTGCTATGTTAGGCCGGTGTGGTGGCTCACGCCTGTGATCCCAGCACTCTGGGAGGCCGAGGCAGGCGGATCATGAGGTCAGATGGAGACCATCCTGGCTAACACGGTGAAACCCCATCTCTACTAAAAATACAAAAAATTAGCCGGGCGTGGTGGCGGGCGCCTGTAAACAGCTACTCAGGAGGCTGAGGCAGGAGAATGGTGTGAACCCGGGAGGCAGAGCTTGCAGTGAGCCAAGATTGCACCACTGCACTCCAGCCTGGGTGACAGAGTGAGACTCTGTCTCAAAAAGAAGAAAAAAAAATTGCTATGTTAAGCACATTATTCCAAGGGTAATAAGGGAAACAGAGTTTTTAATTCTGAATTGTCCTAATCCATGATCTTTCATGTCTCCATGCCTTTTATTTTTTTAGTTTTTGTGGGTACGTAATAGTTGTACCTCCATGCCTTTACACTTATGGTTCCCTGATGAACTCTTACTCAAACTTCAAAACCCAGGTCAAATGTTGCTTCTTCAAAGCAGCATTTCCTTATAGCCACCCCATCCACTCCTAAGCAGACTAAATTACTCCTGTTTGCTTCCACGGCGGCAGCTTGTGTGTACATCTATCAAAACACCTGCTGGGATGCACTGTCATAACTTTTGATGTGTGTCCCCACTTCCCTCTCCACTCAGACTGTGAATCTTTAGGGCAGAGCTGCACCAGTCTCCTGCCTAGTGCCTGGTATATAGTGGGTACTAAATAGTTGGATACTGGAGGGAATGGAGTCTCTGGATAAAGAGGCTTTTGATGCCCCGGGAGTGGCTGTTTCTTTTCCAGCACAGCTGATCAGGCCTCAGGTATTAGTGGAAACTCAGAGAGCTCCATGACAACAGCTTAGGTGAATAACCAAGCACTTCCTGCCTTAAAAAGGTAGATATTTATTGTTTGTCTCAAAAGAGCTGGCCTGAAATATATAGGTGTGCTTGAAGTAACGGTGACAGATGCTGAGAAGGACTGAGATTCTCCCTAAAAGGGATGACAGGAAGCTCTGTCGGATTTGTTCTAATTCAAGCCATGTGCTAGGTTTGCATGCTTGCTGATTCAACGCATTTGTGTTAATCCACTCCTGAAATCAAATGTCAACCTAAACAGACTACAATCTCACCGAATTAGTTTTACTCAATGGCTTAAAACTATGGGTAACAAAACAGAAATAAGAATCATCTATCAACAATATTCATGGCATTCACAGAACCCTAGGGCAGATAGCATTTTTAGAAAATCACAGACTCTGGCAAAATAGTGCATAATCAATCTGTAGGGAACAAACAGCATTTGGTTGGTATGCTTTTAGAGATAATTCTCATTTTCCTTCGGACCCACTCCATGGGCAAATCCTTGAACTATAAGGAAATGCTCCCTTGCATTTAACTGAAATTAACCATGCTACTTCTTTAGGATTCTGCCTTAGTGGAGAAGGAGATCATTAGAATCAGAGGATAAAAAGCAAAGCATGGAAATAAGGAATCTGTCTAACGCTGCATCACCAGCTCATAGAAGCTAGATTCTCTTTATAAACAAATCATTAAACAACAAACAAATGAAGTACTGCTTTCTAATACAAGTATTATGACCACATTGCCAGAAACTTGGAAAACTTCAGGGGGAAAATGGTCTTGCCACCTTAAAACGATTTAATTATTCTTAATTTATTATTTAATAAAATTGTTATATTTTTAAATATTTTCAAAAGCTTTCACGTAAACTCTTAATGTCAGTACCTCTTTTGTCTCCTCTTGGGTATACTGGAGTCATTCCTAGGAATCAAGTCAGATCCTGTAGGTTCTACATTTTGAAGCTCTTTTACAAGTACTGGCTGGCATTGACTCAAAAGGCAGCTATCTGATGACACAATTTCCTGAAGATCAGCAGTGAGGAGAAAACATCATGTCTGGGTTCTAATCTTTCTTTAGTGATAACACTAGATGCTCCTTCATTCATTCAACAAACATTAATTGAGCACCTATTATGTACCAGACATTGTGCTAGGTGCTAGGGCTACAGCTATGAATTAGATAGATAAGGTCCCTGCTCTCACAGGACTTATAGTCTCATGTGGGTGTGTATATGTAAGTATGTAGACACTGTGTAGAAGAAGAAAGGGAAAACCATGAGAAAGTAGAGTCTCTTAAAAATTAGCTTCCTCCTCTGAAAAAAATAGGATAATAAAGGCATCTACTTATAAGGTTGTTGTGAGAAGTGTGCAAATATATTATTTAAAATGCTAACGGAAACTTCAAACCATCAGAACACAGTAAATACCTTCAATGCTCTGGGGGCCCACAAGATTCATGGCCTGGTGAGCTGGATATTCCACTCGGGGCCTGGCAATGCCCAATTGCTCCATAACACCATGAAGCAGCCTCTGGATATCTGCTTCTGAGACCCGGTCAGGGGTCCGGGGGCTGTAAGCAAATGCTGGAGTCCATCCAGATGCCAGCCAAAACAGTAGGCCAGATAGCATGGTAGAGACCATCCTGGAGACCATTGTCAACCTGCAGATAAAAGACCAAATGTATACTGATAGGCTACAATCGGCAATTGTGATAATACAATTATAATGATGCAACCACTCCAGGTTGTGGTTCGAGGACCACCCAGAAAGGGGTTGTAACAAAGAATCCTTAGGAGGTTGCTTTTGTCTTAAGTTTCCATGCTAGGCAGAGCATCATTGCAGAAAGGTATTAAACAAAACAGTTGCAGGTATCCAATTCCCTCTGTTTGCATTCTTGAGAAAGCTAGGCTGGAATGGCGGTTCTCACTCATAATTTTTATCCTCCTTGTAGCTCCCTGAAAGTTCTGCATTACTCCTAACTTCATCACTCTCTCCCTCTCTTACTAAAACAAATAAACCAAACTTGCTTACATTTTGAGAAAGAGATAGTGGCATCTTGGGTTTTCCCAGTCTCTGGGAATAAAAGTCTAACAGGAGGGAGTCAGGAAGACACAAATCAAGAAGCTCAGGAAGGTTGGGAGTGGTGGCAGGGAAACATTTCAGTTTAGCAAACATCCAATACGTTTGCGATCCTGAAAGGAAGGAAAATGTTCCTTAGATCCAGCCCTGCAATCTGCTGGGGTAGTTTGAGGTTTGTTTGCTCAGCCACATGCTGAGTGATCGTAGGCAAGTCCCTCAGTTTCCTCCTCTGCAAAACGGAGATAATTAAAGCATTTACCTTTTAGGGTTGTTGTGAGGCTGTGTGCAAATACATGTTAAGAGTGTTTAGGACAATGCCAGGCACAGAATGAGCCCCTATATTGCTATTATTATGTTGCTAACATTGCCTTAACAGTTCTGGAGGTTAGAATATGGGGAGGCAGTGGTGGTGAGAGGGAGTTAACTAGCCTGGGGGTGGGAGGGTCAACCTGTCCAAAATGTTGGTTTCTATGGGTATGTCTGCAAAACAAGTGAACATTATCCTTGCAGCTTACCCCACAGCTGCTTAACGTGTTTGGATGCATGCTTCAGGCAGCGGCCTTGCAAACCCTTTTTTTTTTTTTTTTTTTTTTTTTTTTTGAGACGGAGTTTCACTCTTGTTGCCCAGGCTGGAGTGCAGTGGCGCCATCTCGACTCACTGCAACCTCCACCTCCCAGGTTCAAGTGATTCTCCTGCCTCAGCCTCCCGAGTAGCTGGAATTACAGGCGCCCACAACCAAACCCGGCTAATTTTTGTATTTTTAATAGAGGCAGGGTTTCACCATATTGGTCAGGCTGGTCTCGAACTCCTGACCTCAGGTGATCCACCCCCTCCCCTCAGCCTCCCAAAGCGCTAGGATTACAGGCGTGAGCCACCAGGACCGGCGCAAACCCTCCTTCTAATCATTCTTCTACTGAGGATGGGGGATGGAGAGGTGGGAGGAGGCAAAATCGTGCATTTCCTTTACTGAAACAAAAATTTTTATACCCTCCAATTTCTTTTTCTGCAAAGAAAAGGCCTTTTCTAGCCACTAGATATAAAACCTTGCTCTCCAAAGAGCTGAGAGTAGCTGTTTAACAGCAAAATCTGCAATTCTGATGGAAAAGGCTGGAGGCAGACACGAGGCTCTCCATCTCCATCTTTCCCTTGTCCACTCTGAATGCAGGATGTCATCCCAGCAAACGCCGCTCTGATTTGATGAACTACACAATCTCCTCCCTCAGTACTCCCTTCCCCTTACTGATAGCCAAACATTCTAATCCCCTACGCATCCTTTGTCTGACCCCAGCCTCCACCTCAAGGATTTTAGCAGGACGCCCTCCCACAACTGGCAATACCAAATCTCGGGTTGGCGGCAGGCGGCCGAGCCGACATCAAAACTGTACTCACCGAGGGGCAGCCCGAGGAGCCTACAGCGGTATGGGCCTTGGTGGGGGTCAGGCCAGGAACGGGCGAACTGGAGAGCTAGTGCGTCACCCTCCTCCGCATCTTAGCTCCGCCCCGGCCCCTCCTCCAGCAGGTGGAAGCTGCCTCGCCAGGACTCCCCAGACTGCATCCCAGATAAGTGTGCCTCTCACCAGGAGCCGCACAGCTCTTCAACCCCCACATTCTGCATACAAACCTCTTGACTATGACATTTCCTAGAGACCCTCTTCAGCTCCATCGACCTCCATGTAAGTCATTCACCTCCTCAGTCTCAATTACAACGTGCCAGATCACCACTACAGCACACCTTTAATTTTGTCAACTTCTAGAATATGTTTTTTGTTTTTGTGTCTAAAGCCTTTCAGCTTCAAGAGGGAAGAGGCAATGAATGGTAGAGAGACAAAAGATGAAGTCCTAAGAACTTTTAATGGTGGCTATGATAAGGTATACCCTGCTCTGAGGGGCCTCTTACTAATCAGGAAAACTATGGGGATATTTAATACAAGAAGCCAGAAACTTCCATTAAAGTGATAAACTTGAAAATCTGTAGAAATATCAGCTCTGAGTGTTATTTCTAAACGTCCACACAAACCATCAAGTAAAATTCCACTTTGGCCTGAAGAGAAACCATACTCCCAGCATACTGTAGAAGTATGTCCAGGTAGTCCCAGATTCTTAAATAAGGGTTTATGGAGCACCTACTATGTGCAATCTTGAACACTGAAATTTGTTCAAATACTAAAATCAAAATGTAAAGCCATACAATAAATATGGCACTACAAATTTGATCAAGATGGAGGATGAGTAAAGAACCTGGGGGTCTCAAAACAAGTAACCTGATGAGGTTAGAATCCAGATCTATTTATCTTAGCTCTAGAGAGCAAATCCATTATCATCTACAGCAATTTTTATGCAATAAATAGAGGCTGGCAAAATTCATTTATGAGACACATGGCCTTTCATTTTGAAGCCAAGCCTCTTTCCCAGTACTTTTTCTTTCACGGATGCTCATCTGCTTCTTGCTTCTTGTTTCAATGCATGCTAAATCAACAGGACAAACACTATCCATTAAATGGCTCTAGGCTCACTGGCCATGCTGGAGTTAGTATTTATTATTGATGCACAGAGACTTTTTTCAATTCTGAGTTTTACTTTAGCTTTGTTCATTGTTATCTTCATTTTGTGGTTGAAAAAAATGAAGTCACTACAATTTACTGCTTTTGTGTTAAATTTAACTGAAATAGATCAAAATGCCTATGCTTCATTTGAAATTTGGTGTTTCAAAAATAAAACCTCATATATATTTAAGAGATCACAGAGGTTAGGTGCAGTGGCTCACGCCCATAATCCCAACACTTTGGGAGGCCAAGGTGGGAGGATCACAAGGTCAGGAGTTCGAGATCAGCCTGGCCAATATGGTGAAATCCCGTATCTACTAAAACTACAAAAATTAGCTGGGCGTGGTGGTGCATGCCTGTAGTCCCAACTACTTGGGAGGCTGAGGCAGAAGAATCGCTTGAACTCGGGAGATGGAGGTTGCGGTGAGCTGAGATTGTGCCACTGCACTCCAGCCTGGACGACAGAGTGAGACTCCGCCTCAAAAAAAAAAAAAAAAAAAAAAAAAGAAAAGAAAACAAAAAACTAACTAAAAAAGATCACAAAATTAAGGTTTAAATTCTGCCACAATTAAGAAAAACATGACTATTAAAATCCTACATTAAGTTCTTAGTGATCATATTATAGAATGTGGCCATGCAGTCTACTAAGTTCTATGTATTAAGTTGTTATTAGATAACCAAATTAATATTAGATCTTTATTTACATTTATAAGACAGTGAGAAGAAGCCATGAGGTTACTGCACGTCCAGACACTTTCATATCATTTCCTCAAATATTCCATGAAGTTAGCAACATTATCTCTATTTTGTATAAGAAAAAATAAAAACGCATTAAATCAAGTTTAAAACAAAACTTTTCTGGCTCTCTAGTTACCCTACCTTCAAGCTAGTCACCTTCACATTTCTGTAATACTCCGTATTGCAGCTTTCAGCTAACAAAAATAGGAGTCACATGTGGTAGTTTTTAAAACAGACATGTTTCATTATTGATTCATCTCTCAGAAAAGCCAGTTCAGGTAGTATGTACAGTTAAACCCCTAGGACTTCTTACTGAATTAGTCTTCAAATTCAACATTTCATCCTTCCCTTGATGGATATAAAAAGACGTTAATGCATTTTTAAAATTTAAAAATTGTTTAAAGCAGACAACATATATCTGACTATATGAATATTTTGTCTCTACTTACAATTAGAAATGCCATAAACATCTACAAACCTATTTGATATCAAATAAACAAAGTAGAACCTAGCCAAGCAAACATCTGATGATTTGAAATTCCTCGTACATACTTATGCTGTAAGTCTGGTTGCTCCGAGTGGCATGAATGCTGCTCTAATCTGCTCCAACATCTAAACATGACATTCTAACAACCAATCTGAAAAACTACCTTTAGTGGTTGATTCTGTCTGCTTATTCCTTCCTCTACAACCTAGAGAATATGTTCTATTGTTCATAATACTCTTTCCTCAAAGATGTGTAATTTGTAATAATTTAAAATATAAATTTAGACAGATTTACTTGACAATTTGGTGCATGTTCTAAATGGCACTTTGAATTTCATGAGAGCCTTAGTCAAGTCATTTTCCAGAGAGTTATCTTTAATGTCTATGCTAAATAAATAACATTTACACACAGGACAAAATCATCATAGGTTTTTATCCAAGTAAAAAAGGTAAAGAGGTGCATCTACTATTTCAAATTCCAAAATCGAGCATCTACATATAAGAAATCACCTTGGTTAATTTTTTTCAAGATTATCCCTCTTTAAATAATTGCCAAATCTATATTGGACAGAACAGACACAAACGTGTTTGTGCAAATTATCTTTAAAAACATAGTATGGCTTAAAAGTTATCAATTATTTCCACATCATAATATATGAACATATTTTAGTCATTATTCTGCCTTAACCATTGTTCTTAGTTCGAGTGAACACAAGGTACACCTACTGGCACTATAAATGAAATTACTCTGCCCCAAATAAAAATAGAGTTTTAGGATGCTATTGAAGGAAATTAATTTCTAGGAATTTTGGCAAGGACAATAAACATTAATATAATTCCAGACATAAGATTTGCAGAGTTTATCTCTACCCTTTATATGCTAGAAATTTATTTATTTTAGAAACCTTATCTGACTTGGAGGAAATAGGCACAACTTGCTCCATTCTTTCTATCACACAAAAATATGTCATTTTCAAAAATTAACTTCTTATAAATCCAGTAAACAATTTCTTTAGAAAGGTAAAGTCTAGCCGGGCGTGGTGGCTCATGCCTGTAATCCCAGCACTTTGGGAGGCTGAGGCGGGCGGATCACAAGGTCAGGAGATCGAGACCATCCTGGCTAACACGGTGAAACCGTCTCTACTAAAAATACAAAAAATTAGCTGGGCGTGGTGGCGGGCACCTGTAGTCCCAGCTACTCGGGAGGCTGAGGCAGGAAAATGGCATGAACCCAGGAAGTGGAGCTTGCAGTGAGATTGCGCCACTGCACTCCAGCCTGGACGACAGAGTCAGAAAGGTAAAGTCTAACCTCTGCTTTAAGAGATCACAATAAAATTAAAGTTTAAAAATTGCCATCATTAAGAAAAACAAAGAAGTAATTTGTACAAATAAAAATCTAAGTTGCTTGTACAGTGAAAAAAATGAAACATTTTCAATAGAGCAAATCTATTGCTTAACAATCATCCTGAGCTACAAACTAACATGTACATCATCCTGCAAGTCATACCAATTACTCACTTTATTTACATTAATGACAAGTATAACATTTACCAATTACAAATCTACAGGTTTACTTGTTGGTAGTAATTGAGTTTTTCCGATAGGATGTTTTGGAGAACCTTTGTACCAGGCCCTTCCTCTTTCTGATGGTCTCCTAAGGACCCTGTTATTTATCCCAGAAGAAATGCCCATGTTGTTATTTACAACTGGTTTTACTATATCATGATTAGTCAGATCATCCAAGGGAACCTTAACTTGGCCATCAGATAAGATCTTCTGTTTATAAACTGTAGTAGACCTAAGAGAAGCATTCACTGAATCTGGGTGCTTCCTCATCTTTAAGAAAGATTTCGAGGGTAACTCCATGCTTGACTTTGAAATTGCACCAATATTTGACTCTTCACATGACATGGACTTCTGTTCTTTAGGACCTGATTTGATACATGAAACAGAGGAATCTTTTGATGCACTTTCTATACAAGAGGAAAGAGCACCGTCACAGCTCACTGATTTGACCAAAGGAGAAGCTGTATCACCAAGACTCGCCAACTTATGCCCTGTAGGTTGTCTGCTATACTCCAACAAAGAATTAATTCTTCTGACGGACTGACGAACAGGAGTACGCTGAAACTTAAGAGGTGACTTGACTTTTATTCTATTTGGTTCATTTAAAGAAAGCTTGTTAAACCACTGTATGTGATCAGAAACCTTTCTATGTTCTGTCATTTGTGAACTTTCAGAAACTGTTTTCTCACATGTTTCCAATGACTGCTGTTTAGCAATTCTCATAGGCCTAGGTTTTGACAAGTTTGTTACAACACATGTACTCTGCTGTGAGAAAGAGGATCTAGCCTCGTCCTTGCTATGTGCTGCACACTTCGGTAAGTTACCTTCCATCATATTCTCATTCTCTTTTAATTTATTATTTAGTTTATCCTTTGGGGACTGCTGTTTCTTTATTTCTTCATCACTGGAGAATTCTTGCTTGCTTAAATAATCTTTTGGCATATTTGAATGAATGTCTTTTTCATGTTCCATCTTCATCTGAGTTGAATAACATTTTATAGTTGTTTCTCTATTAAATGTTTGAGTTTGAAGGGGTGAAAAGTCCCTCTCTGAAAAACATTTTTCACCTTTACCAGTGTGGTGTTCATATTTCTCCTTTGATTCTACTATAGTCAAATCATTAGTTTCAAATAGATTTTCCTCTGGGCTATCTTCTAAATAAGATGGTTCAGTTAATTTTACTTTCCCCACATTAGTTACTGATGACTGCCTCTGATTCATCAATGCGTGAAGATTACTTCCAGATTCAGAAAACGCTTTTTGAACTTTCACCAAAGTCTCTTTGGTCATGTTATTTTCATCCCCGCTAAGAGGGCTACTTGTTATGTTGCTATTATGCTTATTGTTTAAATTGGAAGGGGTGAGTTCACATGAAGTAGCAGGTGACTTTTCTACCATAATATCAGGCTCCAAAGAGTTTTCTACCTCAAGATTTTCCACCATTGAAGAAGCTTCATTTGCATCTACTTCTTGAAAACTTGAATTATTAGGTCCTGTCCAAGACATCCGGTAATTTGTTCCAACTAGTCGCTCTGGAGTTAGTAAGGTTTCCTCAGACTTACTGATCTTTTCTGAACCTAAAATAAAGCAGTTCAGTGCTTAATCCTTTGTATTTAACCTTGTTTTGAAATAATACCCAAGCACATGGCAAATAAGTCACTAAGCATTTAATTCTAATAAAGTATTTGTGTTACAAGAAATAATTTTTAACATAAGAATGTCAAACATTTTCATATTTACATGTATAAGCATTTCCCAATTGTTGATAGAAAAATACATTGCCAATTCTAATATTTTCACTATTCAAACATGAACTTTTAATCTCTAGAACAGTAAATTAATTAATATGTTTTGCCATTAAAAAAGCAACTAAAGCAGGATTTTTAGGTAAAACTCTAACAGTAGTATGTAAATGTACCTTTCTTTGGTAACTTTTCATCAACATCTGGGCTAAAAAGCAAACCTGTTTTTACAGATTCAATTCGATTTTTTAAACTTTGTTGATTTGCAAGTCGCCAACCAACACTTTCATATCTATTGACACCAGAACATCCATTCTGTACAGAAAAAAAAAAGTTTTAGTTAAGAAATAAGCCTAGTTAATTCAAAATATAAAGACAGAATAATTTTTTGTAGTTATCAAAATCTTTAGCTGATTTAAAAAGGGATATATAATTGAGAAACAATTCTTAACAATGACAAACATTCTTGCCTGCTAATGAAAACTGTAATCATTTGATTTTGCTATTAGTTGATATTTTATGATCTATTTTTAAAACAGTCTCACATATTAATTAAAATAATTTCTGTGTGTGCTCTGACTCTGTGCTAGGGCCTGTTCACAAATAGTTGGGGCAGTGGGGTACCTAGACCAAAATCTTATCCTTATGTAATTTACATTCTATTTAGATGGGGAAATTTAGACTTAAGATAAACAGTAAATTATATTGCATAAATACAATATACAAGGTGAAAAGTGCTACGGAGAAAAGTAAAACAGAGTAAAAAGGATATGGAGTGGTGAAGAATGGAGGTTTAGTTTAAAATAGGGTGATGAGAAGATAATTTGTGAGTAAAACAAAACAAAGGTGAGAGCCATGAAGATTTAAGGGGGAAGAACACTACAGAAAGAGCAGAATGCCAGTGCAGTCTCTGAGACTGGAGCAGAGTGAGCAAGGGGGACTGGAGGAGAGCTCAGAAATGCAGCCTGAGAACAGATCACGTGAGGCCTTTGCAGGTCAACATGAGAACTCTGGCTTTTATTCAGAGTGAAACGAGGAGTCACTGGAGAGTTCTGAGCAGAAAACTACATAACCTAACAGATTTTAAAAGATAAATTTCAACTACAGAACTGCAGCAAGGGTAGGAGAAGGAAGAACTATTAACAGGAGTTTACTAGAGTAATCCAGCTGAGAGATGACAGAACTTAGAGAAAGTGGGAAAAGTAGTAATAGTGAGAACTGGTCAGTTTGGAGATACTCTAAAAGCAGAAGTTAGACAAGATTCTCTAATGGATTAGACATGGTGTCTCAGAGAAAGTGAGGAATCAAGGATTTGACCATGGTTTTTGGCTTAAGTGACTGGAAGAACGATTTGCCATAACTGAGATAGGGAAAACCACAGGTAAAAGTGTTGTTTGGTGCAGGGCATAGCAGCAGCAAAGAAATCCATCTGCTTGGGACAGGTTACATTTGAAATGCCTATTGGATTAGATATCCAAGTAGGAGAGTCAAAAAAGCAGATGTTAAGAGACAGCGGAGTCATTCAGAAGAGCATTTGGGACTAGAGAACATAAACTTGGAAGTTTTAAGTAAATACAGGTTGGGCATTCCAAATCTGAAAAGCCAAAGTTCTGGATGCTCCAAAAATCCAAAGCTTTTAAGTATTTGACATGATGTTCAAAGAAAATGCTCACTGGAGCATTCCAGACTTTCAGATTAGGGATGCTGAACTAGTAAAAATAATGTAAATATTCCAAAATCCCCCCCAAAAATGGGGAATCTGAAATACTTCTGGTCTCAAGCATTCTGGATAAGTGCTACTCAACCTGTATATAATGTTTAAAACTGATGATCACCTTGAGTGAGTGGAGAGAAAAAAGAGAAGTCCAAGGACTAAGCTTTGGGTACTCCAATGCAAGGAAATTTGATATCAACTCAAGTATAAGAGTTTTGGATAAAAAGAACAGAATGAGACAGTCACTGGAAGGAAGGTAGGGCTATGAGTGTTTTTTAGTATCAAGTTTATAGCGTTATGCTAATATAAAGATCAATAAAATGGTAAGAAACTTACTACTTCTCTGCCATTTTTCCCTAGATTGAATTTCAAACGCAGAGATCTTCGAACCTTTTCTTTATGGCTGATTTTAGGAGAAAAGCAGCCTGCTTTTCCTGATTCCACTCTAGAAGAAGTGGAATTAAAAATGTCAGTTTATAGTATAAACACCAGAGAAATACTTAAAATACGAAATTTGAAATAAAGTCCACAGCAAATCATATTGATAATAATTGGATGGATTAATAATTCTTTAAAAACAGTTCAACTTTAAGATACCATACATGAACACACTGCATTTGCATAAAAAATGATCTGCTAATCTTAAAAGTTAGTCAGTCAGTTATAACTCAGAATTGTTAGAATAGGCTAGCTTTTTAACCTAAAAGGAATTTTTTTTTTTGTTTTTTATTTTTTGAGACAGGGTCTCACTCTGCGGCCCAGGCTGGAGTATAATGGCATAATCACAGCTCACTGTAGCCTTGACATCCCTGGGCTCAGATGATCCTCTCACCTCAGCCTCCCAGGTAGCTGGGACTACAGGCATGTGGCACCATGCCTGGCTAATTTTTGTACTTTTTAGTAGAGATGAGGTTTTGCCATGTTGCCCAGGCTGGTCTTGAACTCCTGAGCTCAAGTGCTCCACCCACCTCAGCCTCCCTAAGTGCTAGGATTACAGGCATAAGCCACCGTGCCCAGCCTCTAACAGGAAATTTTAAAATTACACCATCAACATAAAATAGGATTTTAAGCAAGCAAAGCGGACTCAAATTAGTAATTTTTCTCTGGTGGGTATTGAAAAGGCAATTGATTAATAAGACTATAAAGGCAGAAGGGATTTTAAAAAATTATGACTCAAATATGATGCTTGACAGAAAGACAAAACATTTTATTAATTATGTGTACACCAAATATTTATCCGATGAAAACAAAATGTCCTGGATAAAGTACCTGCAAACTTTTTTGCCTGCAATTCTTTTACTTCGCCTTGGCACACCTGCAGTGATCAAATGGTTTCCACCAATGAGTACAGGCGAGAGTGAACTCTGAGATGACCCTTCTGAGCTTGTATCGATGTGAACTACAAAAATAACCACATGTAATATACCACACATATCTATTTTCCTTTTAAAGTATAAAATAGTAATAGCAGCAATTAGATTCAAAGCCTTAATTTCTATCCCAAGCAACAACCGAAATCACTTAATTTCTGGTTAGAAACTTCAAGTGTCAAATAACCCAACTCAGCTAAGAAAAAGCATTCATTTTTTACTTTTGACTTGCCAATTAAAGGTCAGCTTAAGCATTACTTTTATATTAGAGCTTTTCTTTAAACTCTGTTAATAATACAAGGCAGGGATAGGCACCATTGCAGACTGGAAAAAGAACAAGATTTGGAGACAGGCTTGAGTTTGCTCCATCACTTACTAAATGGCTTTAGGCTCTGAAAACGGACTTCTATGATGAATATTACTGTTATCTATATAAAATATTTAGTCAGTATCTAGTACATAATACCAATTAATGGTATTATAAAAAATAAGCTATTGGCAAACAAGTTGGAATCTGAGTATTTGAGATATACCTGCTGGCCAACTGCTACCCACCTGATTCCGGAATGTAATTTGTTCAATATTTTTGGCAAGTAAACAAAAACTAATTATTCTATAACACATTCCTAATCCCTTGGCTGCTGCTGTGTTCCATGCAAATAATTACTGGTACAACAGAAGCTCAATTATTTAACACCATTTATATTATGAAATCAACTATAGTAAACAATTACGAAAGAAGTAAAATAGTTATGAACAAAGGCTCCATATACATTTATGTTTGAATCACGCCCAGGACACATTCAACAAACATGAACCCTCTCAATTCATCTGAGTTATTAATAAAGAATTCACAAAGTTTCCCAGAGACATTCACATTTTTTCAATTATGAAAACGGAAAAAATACAACCACCTTAGAAACTTTTGGGTGCATTTAGCTAAAGAAAATTTTGGAAGCCAATATTATACATCTAAAGTGACATAAGTAGCTTTATTCTAGGGCTGCAGTCTAGTCACTTTAAAAATGTGTCCGGCCAGGCACCGTGACTCACGTCTGTAATCCCAGTATTTTGGGAGGCTGAGGTGGGCGGATTGCTTGAGGCCAGGAGTTCAAACCAGCCTGGCCAACATGGTGAAATCCCATCTCTACTAAAAATACAAAAATTAGCTGGGTGTGGTGGTGCATGCCTGTAATCCCAACTACTCAGGAGGCTGAGGCACAAGAATCACTTGAACATCGGAGGTGGATGTTGTAGTGAGCCAAGATCATGCCACTGTACTCCAGCCTGGGAGACAGAGCGAGACTCCGTCTCAAAAAATAAAAATAAAAAATGTGTCAATGGTCGCAGGAGGCACAGTCAGAATATATGGAACAATGCAAATTTATCACATCTGTAAGAAAATTATGGCCAGGCATGGTGGCTCACACCTGTAATCCCAGCACTTTGGAAGACCAAGGCAGGTTGATCAGCTAATGTCGGGAGTTCAAGACCAGCCTGGCCAACGTGGTGAAACCCCGTCTCTACTAAAAATGCAAAAGAAAATTAGCCAGGTGTGGTGGTGGCCACCTATAATCCCAGCTACCTGGGAGGCTGAGGCAGGAAAATCGCTTGAACCTGAGAGGTGGTGGCTGCAGTGAGCCGAGATTGTGCCATTGCACTCTAGCCTGGGCAACAAGAGCAAAACTCTGTCTCAAAAAAAAAAAAAGAGACAATTATGAATAGATACTCTATGGACTACAGACTAATGTTGCCTTTATATATTTTTAAAAGCATCATATTTGTTATAATCTAAACTTAGAAATCAATCTATTTTCAATTTTGCAAATGGAATTTGTTGAATTGTGGCTGAGAAAGTAGGGTCAAAGAAAAGTGGTGTAAAAATAATACGATTACTATTGTTGAACTTTTAAATTTTTTTATAAAAAAATTCATTGATTAGGCAAGCTCAAACTAAAAATAGCACAAGACTGTTTAACCTCTGTTTTGGGAGCTTGGAGGAGGAGAAGAAGGAATCAGTATGTTCATTCCTTGGGGAAAATGTAATGCTAATAAGCAAAGGCAGGTAGAACTACAACTCCCATTTGCCATTTGGAAAAAGTCCTCCAAACTGCAAAGGATATATTCAAAAAAAAAAACAACTGAACTATGTTACTTAAAAAAGTTTAAGTCTCCAACCTGTGAACACTGCAAAAGCTACAGACATAAGCTTCAGAGTTACTATCATCACATTTCAATGAGCCCTAGAGAACCTGTGAAGCAGTGTTTTTTTCTGGAAAACCTCAAGTTGCTATTCTGTTCAACTTCTCAATAAAACAAATAAGAACCCTTTTGGACAACAGAAAAAAGAGACAGGCTTTGGGAAGGAACTCATATAACTCAGATAATGAATCAAAAATGAAACTTAACATTGTCTGAAACCAACAAAATAAAAAATCTAAAATAATCAGAGATCACTCACATTTTGACTAAATGTAAGATAAATGAGATGGAGGACCCTGGGCTTAGAGTTTCATTTCATTTTTGGTTGATCGTAAGGTTAATATGAGCCAACTTGAATTCTGTATATGCTAAAAGAGCCAATTGAATCTAAGACCCAGACTAATCTCCGGATTAGCATGATCATACTCTATTACTCTCTGAAGGCTCTGGTTGGCCACATTAGAACTTGTAGTTAATATGGAAGAAAATGGCTGGGCTGGTAAGGGATCTGGAAGCCATGGCACAAGGAACAGCGTCAACAAAGTTCTAAAGCTTTTACAAAAGGTACTTGAGTCTAAAACTTTAAAAATACCCTCATTTTCAAACCATAACCTGCAATAGTAACACTCCCACTTGGGAATCAGACATGATCAAACATCTGGCAACCTCAATTCAACAAATGACAGCAATAAAGCCACAGCTATAGACCCAGATGTAACTATAGCAGGATTCAGGATGTCTAATCACATAAAACCTAAGCATCAATGCTATCACCAGAAGCCCAAACTACTACTCTGGGTTATCACAACTTTCAATAGATGTTGTCATAACACACACACACACACACACACACACACACACACACTATATTGAAACAGTGTCTATTTTAAAAGGCAGGGGGTTTTATAAAAATTCATAGGTTGGATAAAACAGAATAAAGTTCTAGTTCCTAAGGGTGGTATTATTAATATGAAATTGCACTGTGCCCAGAATAGGCACTCATTTTAATCTTTACAATCCATTTATATAAATTCTATTTGCTACCTGATACCGGTGTAGAACTGCTATTGAAGAGATTACTTGGCAACAGCTCAAAGTTAAAATTGTGCTTGATGGACTTCCTTTTCTTACTTGAGAAACCATGAGAAGAATCTACTGGCAATGTACGCTTAGCATTTGGTGTAAGAATCACTGGTGATTCAGATAGCTGGGCTGAAAAAATATCAAAACAAAACCAACTTGTTTCTACTGCAGAGTTGACAACATATAAAAGCTTTACATAATTTCTTCTTATAAAGCTATTACTTAGAGCTAAACAAAAAATGAGAATATATTTACATCATCAGTTAAGTAGATGTTGTTTAACTAAAACACTCTGCAATTACTTAAATGAAAATAAGGAAGTCGCAGAGGCAAGACTCTTAAGAGACAGCAGTTACTTAAATCTAACAGACTAAAAGATGCATATGATATACATTAAAGAATATTGATGTAAGGAAGAAATTACAATCAAGGAGTTGAAACAAAAACTAATCTAAATATTATTTTTGCTTTTCATCATAAGTGAGTATTAACCAGTTCATTTCTTCACTCTAGAAAACAGAAGATCATGTTGACTCTTACTGGCTGAATAATTTCAGCCACAAGCAAATTAGGATAAAAAATTGAAATATACAATAATGAACTTCTAGTCCTAAGATAAAAATGAGGTTGAACTATTTTCACACGCTTAATAGCATCTAAATTACAAACAGAAAAGCATGATTAAGAAGATTAAAGACAGGAGACTAAAAAAATTTTTGCCTACAATTTTGGGTTCATTATAGCCTATGTAATTAGCAATGTCACAACATAGTGTGTATAGTACAGTATGACTATTAAAAATAATATTTGATTTGATTAAACTAAATTTGATTACTAAGTTAGGTAATTATTATTGTAATTGTATTTTATAGAATACTATACAAATTTTAATTTAAATAAATGCATATAATAAATACCTACCAATTCTTTCTTCTTGAGGTGTAATAGAAGGTGTTCTGTTAGGTTTAAATTTATTTAGTGCTCCACTAACAAAATCTGAAATGCAAGGCATAAGCAATTACAACTTCACATTTACTTGTCTTTCACCAATAATTCATATTAATATTTGCAGTCTTCTTTCAACATGTAACTTTACATCGGCTTATAAATTTTAAGTTATTTAAGAGGAATTATTTCAAAATAGGAAAAATACTAAAGGATATATTTTTATTCCATTCCCCACTTATACTTCCATATCCCTAAAATAAAAAAGACACAATACAGAAAGAAATGTAATACAAATACATATAATGTACAGTAAGGGTAGGGAAAAAGAAATCATTACATGTTAAGGCAAAAGATGAAGGTCTGAACTGAGGCAAGAACCATGGAAATGGAGGCACGAATAAAAGTATTTAAAAGATCAGTAGAGATGGAAGTAAAAACATTATATCAATAAATAGTGTAAGCAAATGAATAAAAGTGTCTGGAAAATAAATAACATAGTTTGACTAAAGTTGCTCAAAGACAGGAAATAGTAGACAGGTATGCTAGAGCAATCCTATGAAAGACCTTTAATGCCAAGCTATAAATATCCCTATTACCAATTAAAATTTCTGAAGGGTATGTGTGTGAGATACTTGAGTAGAGTTATACATTTAAAATGTAAGCCTTGGCCAGGTGCAGTGGCTCACACCTGTAATCCTAGCATTTTGGGAGGCCAAGGCAAGCAGATTACTTGATGTCAGGAGTTAGAGACCAGCCTGGCCAACACAGTGAAACCCCCTTTCTACTAAATATACAAAAATTAGCCAGGCGTGGTAGCGTGCACCTGTAATCCCAGCTACTTGGGAGACTGAGGCAAGAGAATCGCTTGAACCCAGGAGGTGGAGATTGCAGTGAACCAAGGTAGCATCACTGTACCCCAGCCTGGGTGACAAAGACAGACTCCGTCTCAAAAAAAAAAAAAAAAAGTGAGCCTTAATAGCAATATGTAGGGTAGATTCAAGGAGGAGGCATAAAGACCAAGAAGATTCTTTTTTTAATTTTTATTTTTGAGACGGAGTCTCGCTATGTTGCCCAGGCTGGAGTGCAGTGGCCCGATCTCAGCCAACTACAACCTCCGCCTCCCAGGTTCACACCATTCTCCTGCCTCAGCCTCCCAAGTAGCTGGGACTACAGGCGCCCGCCACCACGCCCAGCTAATTTTTTATATTCTTAGTAGAGACGGGGTTTCACTGTGTTAGCTAGGATGGTCTCGATCTCCTGACCTCATGATCCGCCCACCTTGGCCTCCCAAAGTGCTGGAATTACAGGCGTAAGCCATCGCGCCCGGCCAAGAAGATTCTTACAGTAACAATGCAATAAACACTACGGAGATAGAATCTTATACGACATGAAAACTGTCTGATTATAGATGGTAGAGGAAGAGGTAGAACCCATGGTTAAAGCCTGAGTATCTAGGGAATAGTGGTGCTGTTAGAAGAAAATGGAATTCACACAGAACCAGGATAAAGAGGATAAAGATGGTCATTTCAAAACGTTAAGCTTAAAGCACCAATGAAAAGCAGATGTGATGAGGTCTCCCTAGCAAGCCATTAGTAAAGTGGAACTGACATTTTCAAGATAACGGTGGTACAGATGTGGTGGTTATCTATTTAGATGTGATAACTGAAACTACAGGACTGGTGATAACTGAAACTACAGGACTGGGAAAGAGGGCAATAAAGATGATCTGCATCTGAGAAATATCTCCATTGGGGATAGGAAGTTTTATGGGTTGCATTGTGTTCTCCAAAAAACCTATGTTTAAGTCCTAACCCCCAGTTCCTATGAAGGTGACCATACTTGGAATTCGTGTCTTTACAGATGTACTCGAGTTAAAATGAGGTCATTTGGGTGGGCCCTAATCCAATGTGCCCTGTAAGAGGGAAGTTCTGACACAGAGCAACATCATAGGATGACATAGGCAGGGATTGGAGTGACGCGGCTGCAAGCCAAGGAATGCTAAGGACTGACAGCCACTACCAGGAGCCAGGAAGAGGCAAGAAAGGATTCTCCCCTGCAGGTTTCAGGCATTCTGCCAACACCTTGATTTCAGACTTCTAGCCTCCAGAACGGTGAGACAAATTTCTGTTGATTTAAGCCACCTAGTTTGTAGTACTTTGCTACAGTAGCCCTAGGAAAATCATACATAAGTCATCAGTATTATCCTATCTACAAAGGAGGTAAAGAAGAAACACAAGTATGCAATAACAAATAAACCAAAAGATGAAAAAGGGATTGGGATAGTTAGTAACATTTGGTTCTGATATTCAAAAGATAATAAATTTCCTAAAGTAATTGGAAGAATAATGGCCTCTGACTTCTTGATCAAGGAGATTGCAAGTTTTATTACCAACTCTACCATCTTATGATGGTCTTTTGGTCTTTCTGATTCTTCCTTGATAATATTTCCTTCATTATTTAGTTCGTACTCCTAACTAATCCATGTCACTAACAAGTTCAAACAATAATCTCATGCCTGGACTACTGACACACATTGCTGACCATTCTCCCTACTTCCAAGTCTCAATTCTTCAAATCAGGTAATTTTCTAAAATTTTTAAATCATATCATGCCTCACATCATAAATCTTCAATGATTCACCAACACCCAGGTTAATATTCTAATTCTTTAGCCTG
Source organism: Homo sapiens (assembly GCF_000001405.40). Lineage (NCBI taxonomy): Eukaryota > Metazoa > Chordata > Mammalia > Primates > Hominidae > Homo > Homo sapiens. Next base: position 2,144,464 of record NW_012132920.1, on the reverse strand, counting down.
GCATTAAGTTTACCATAATACCATCCTTTATCCTTATGCTGAACACTTCACTCAAGTCATACTGCACTATCTACATTAGACATAGGTTACTTCTTCCCTACACAAACCTTTCTTCATAGCATCCTTCTCATCTAGAATAGGATACAAGTATTCTGATCCTCCACCCAATCCCACTAAATTCTATCCATTATTCAAGAAGGTTCAGTTTGGCTCCTCTTTGACAAGTCCCTGATAATTACAATCCAGGGAACTTTTCTCCTTTTAACACATTTTATGTTTGTGCTAAAGATGTAGCACTTAACATTAGATTGTACTATCGCTTTAACTTTTTACACGCATACGTCCTATCTTTCCAGCTGTGCTTTAAGCACCAAAAAGGCACATACCACAGTTCATGCTTCTTTATGTGAAATGTACTTTCGATTAAAGCAAATCACTGTACCTCCATAAAATGGGACCGCCACTTACCTCCTACACTTTGTCTTCTCTTTCTCTTATATTCACCAGGAGTTTCATATTCACCTTCTTCAAAGCCTTCCAGTGATGGAGTAGCACAGAGACCATCAATACCCAACATGGCTGGTATCTTTTCCAGGATAAAATCTGGTACACGCCCTAAATGAAAATGTTCACAAGTAAGACAATTATTATCCTTCCTCCACTCTTCCCCAAAAATGTTTAGATACTAATATACCAATTTCTTTTCTTTTTTTCTTTGCAGGAGGGGCCGGTACTGTAGGGTGGGGGTGAGGTCAGTAATATACCAACTTTCTAACAGTTGCCTTCATAGTTCCTTTGAAAGAAACAGAGATTTTCCTCATTTAAACAAATTCTGTTAATAATGCAACTACATCTTACCAATATCTGATGCATAATCGATAAGAGTCTGTACTACTGCAGCCTGTAATCGTAGCTTCTTTTCTGTGTTAGAAGACATCTTTTCATGTCCTTCACTTGTCTGAAGAAGATTCGGTGCAAATATTACTGCAAGATTGCTGCTGTCCATCTTATTCTCACTGGATCTTAAGTGAATAAACGCTTTATTAGATGGAGCCAAACGTGAAAATACAGAAGAGTTAAAATAACGTATGTAGTACATTTTGAAGACCTTATTATCAGTCATACACAAGTCAAAATAGTTACCCTTCATCTACATGATTGGCTTGAACACAAGAAAGAACCAGAAATATATAGCCTCTCTATATTTAAATATGTATTCTAAAAACCATGCTAATCTTAGAGTTCATACTTTGCTTTTCCACACAAATTGAACATCTTTATCTGATTTTCAGACCTACACATAAAAAGTTGGAAGTATCAGAAGGCAGCAAGTATGTCTAGAATAAGCAGGCTCACTGACAGCAGGGAGAGGGAAATTTTGAAAAGCAAAACAGAAATATTTTAAAAACCCAGTAAACAAAGGCTTTCAGTGGACAATGAATCTTATAAACACCAATGAACCATTAAGGCATTCATGATGATGACTTTAAGATAAGGAAATATTAAATCATTTGGTATGCTGTTTCTTAAATTGGAGTATACTCCTCATAGTAATGAAATATGGAATTTTTAAAGAAAAATTTCCATTCCAAATGAAATTGTACATATCTACAAGCATAAAACGTTAGTTGAAAAATTCAACTATTATTTGCCAAGAGTTTTAATTACCACTTACCTAAGAGAAACATTCCTGAGAAAGTTAAAGAAGTATCTTAATACATGAACTGTGTGGTCAGCCAGAAGACAGGAGAGCAACAGTGTAGCTTTATTCTTTTCCTCTGTGCCTAACTGTTGAGCTTTCAAAAGTGCTTCATGCAAATCAGCTGGGAGAATGGGCTCTGGCAGTTCCCTAAAAAACTGCTTAAGAAGTCCCGCAATATCACAAGGAGGTGCAGAAGATAGGCAACCTTCACCATGATCCACTTTATTCTGAAATAAATATAATAATCTTGAGTATTTTGGCAACTTAAGAGTTTATTGCAAATAAAGTATCTTTTGTTATACTCTAATTACACTTTTCTTTAATAAATTTCTCTTAACTCTTATTTTAATATATGTCACTACTTTATTTTTAATGATTTTTGAATTTATTTTTATTTTTATAGAAATGTGGCACAGACTATGTGGCCTGGGCTGGCTTCAAACTCCCAGGCTCAAGCAATCTTCCTGCCTTAGCCTCCCAAGTAGCTGGGACTACAAGCATGTGCCACCACACTCAGCTCTATCACTCCTTCTAGAAGGCTAACAACAATATAACTTAACACATTTTTTTCATTTTACATAATACTTGATAGAAATAAGGACCATGAATTTAAAAGTACCCTATTAAATTTTTAAAGCATGATAGAAATAATATACCATTTCTTTTGGAAAAAAAAAATCTTCTGCCATGAAAAAAATGCAAATTCAATTTCTGTCAACTATTCATATTAATAGTTCTAAATATTTCAGTTTTAAAAACCAAATCAGAAAATGGCTCAAATGAAAAATTAATAGTTCAACAATATGCTCACCTTTAGTGCTTTTAGGCGAATCACAGATCCTGATTTCCGAAAAAGCCCTTCGGTATGAATATGGTCTTCTAAAGATGTGCAAGCATCGACAAGAAAGCTGAAAGAGAGATTTTTTCAGGTGGCTAGACATACATATCACATCCTATTCCTCTGCTAACATACATGAGCAGGCCAAGCACTACGTACCTTTCAGAGGCTCTAAAGCCACAAATCTCTGTAGTCTTTGAGATGAAATGTTACTTTTAGTTGTCTACTGGCTTCCCAAATTCTTCTCCAAGGCCCATCTTTTTACTTCTAACAACTCCAATGTGCACACTAAATTTTATCTTTCTCAATCCTACTTCATTTCTGCTTCCCTTCAGAGCGTAAGACTTGTCTTTTTTTTCTGCCTCTACTTCTTCATATCTCAGTCTCTACTCACCCCTATCCAATCATTCTCATACCTCATTACTCCAAAGAA